>NC_000011.10:53831806-53986855 GCF_000001405.40 Homo sapiens
GACAGAGCAGCTCTGAAATCCTCTTATTCTAGAATCTGCAAGTGGACATTTGGAGGGCTTTGAGGCCTGTGGTGGAAAAGGAAAATCTTCACATAAAAACTAGATGGAAGCATTCTCAGAAACTACTTTGTGATGATTGCATTCGACTCACAGAGTTGAACATTCCTATAGATAGAGCAGGTTGTAAACAATCTTTTTGTAGAATCTGCGATTGGAGATTTGGACTGCTTTGAGGCCTACTGTAGTAAAGGAAATAACTTCATCTAAAAACCAAACGGAAGCATTCACAGACAATTCTTAGTGATCATTGGATTGAACTAACAGAGCTGAACATTCCTTTAGATGGAGCAGTTTCCAAACCCACTTTCTGTAGAATCTGCAAGTGGATATTTGGACCTCTCTGAGGATTTCGTTGGAAAAGGGATATACTTCCCAGAACTACACGGAAGCATTCTGAGAAACTTCTTTGTGATGTTTGCATTCAACTCACAGAGTTGAACCTTGCTTTCATAGTTCAGCTTTCAAACCCTCTTTTTGTAGAATCTGCAAGTGGATATTTGGACCACTTTGTGGCCTTCCTTCGAAACGGGTATATCTTCACATCAAACCTAGACAGAAGCATTCTCAGAATGTTTCCTGTGATGACTGCATTCAACTCACAGAGGTGAACAATCCTGTTGATGGAGCAGTTTTGAAACTCTCTTTCTTTGGATTCTGCAAGTTGATATGTGGACCTCTGTGAAGATTTCGTTGGAAACGGGTTCATCTTCACAGAAAATCTAAACAGAAAGCATTCTCAGTAAACTGCTTTGTGATGTTTGTGTTCCACTTCAGGAATTGAACTTTCCTCTTGACAGAGCAGCTCTGAAACCCTCTTATTCTAGAATCTGCAAGTGGACATTTGGAGGGCGTTGAGGCCTGTGGTGGAAAAGGAAAATCTTCACATAAAAACTAGATGGAAGCATTCTCAGAAACTACTTTGTGATGATTGCATTCGACTCACAGAGTTGAACATTCCTATAGATAGAGCAGGTTGTAAACAATCTTTTTGTAGAATCTGCGATTGGAGATTTGGACTGCTTTGAGGCCTACTGTAGTAAAGGAAATAACTTCATCTAAAAACCAAACGGAAGCATTCACAGACAATTCTTAGTGATCATTGCATTGAACTAACAGAGCTGAACATTCCTTTAGATGGCGCAGTTTCCAAACACACTTTCTGTAGAATCTGCAAGTGGATATTTGGACCTCTCTGAGGATTTCGTTGGACACGGGATAAACTTCCCAGAACTACACGGAAAGCATTGTGAGAAACTTCTCTGTGATGTTAGCATTCAACTCACAGAGTTGAACCTTGCTTTCATAGTTCAGCTTTCAAACACTCTTTTTGTGGAATCTGCAAGTGGATATTTGGACCACTTTGTGGCCTTCCTTCGAAACGGGTATATCTTCACATCAAACCTAGACAGAAGCATTCTCAGAATGTTTCCTGTGATGACTGCATTCAACTCACAGAGGTGAACAATCCTGCTGATGGAGCAGTTTTGAAACTCTCTTTCTTTGGATTCTGCAAGTGGATATGTGGACCTCTGTGAAGATTTCGTTGGAAACGGGTTCATCTTCACAGAAAAACTAAACAGGAGCATTCTCAGAAACTGCTTTGTGATGTTTGTGTTCCACTTCAGGAATTGAACTTTCCTCTTGACAGAGCAGCTCTGAAACCCTCTTTTTCTAGAATCTGCAAGGGGACATTTGGAGGGCTTTGAGGCCTGTGGTGGAAAAGGAAACTCTTCACATAAAAACTAGATGGAAGCATTCTCAGAAACTACTTTGTGATGATTGCATTCGACTCACAGAGTTGAACATTCCTATAGATAGAGCAGGTTGTAAACAATGTTTTTGTAGAATCTGCGATTGGAGATTTGGACTGCTTTGAGGCCTACTGTAGTAAAGGAAATAACTTCATCTAAAAACCAAACGGAAGCATTCACAGTACAATTCTTAGTGATCATTGCATTGAACTAACAGAGCTGAACATTCCTTTAGATGGAGCAGTTTCCAAACACACTTTCTGTAGAATCTGCAAGTGGATATTTGGACTTCTCTGAGGATTTCGTTGGAAACGGGATAAACTTCCCAGAACTACACGGAAGCATTGTGAGAAACTTCTTTGTGATGTTTGCATTCAACTCACAGAGTTGAACCTTGCTTTCATAGTTCAGCTTTCAAACACTCTTTTTGTAGAATCTGCAAGTGGATATTTGGACCACTTTGTGGCCTTCCTTCGAAACGGGTATATCTTCACATCAAACCTAGACAGAAGCATTCTCAGAATGTTTCCTGTGATGACTGCATTCAACTCACAGAGGTGAACAATCCTGCTGATGGAGCAGTTTTGAAACTCTCTTTCTTTGGATTCTGCAAGTGGATATGTGGACCTCTGTGAAGATTTCGTTGGAAACGGGTTCATCTTCACAGAAAAACTAAACAGGAGCATTCTCAGAAACTGCTTTGTGATGTTTGTGTTCCACTTCAGGAATTGAACTTTCCTCTTAACAGAGCAGCTCTGAAACCCTCTTATTCTAGAATCTGCAAGTGGACATTTGGAGGGCTTTGAGGCCTGTGGTGGAAAAGGAAAATCTTCACATAAAAACTAGATGGAAGCATTCTCAGAAACTACTTTGTGATGATTGCATTCGACTCACAGAGTTGAACATTCCTATAGATAGAGCAGGTTGTAAACAATGTTTTTGTAGAATCTGCGATTGGAGATTTGGACTGCTTTGAGGCCTACTGTAGTAAAGGAAATAACTTCATCTAAAAACCAAACGGAATCATTCACAGGCAATTCTTTGTGATGGTTGGTTTGAACTCAGAGAGCTGAACATTCCTTTAGATGGCGCAGTTTCCAAACACACTTTCTGTAGAATCTGCAAGTGGATATTTGGACCTCTCTGAGGATTTCGTTGGAAAGGGTATAAACTTCCCAGAACTACACGGAAGCATTCTGAGAAACTTCTTTTTGATGTTTGCATTCAACTCACAGAGTTGAACCTTGCTTTCATAGTTCAGCTTTCAAACACTCTTTTTGTAGAATCTGCAAGTGGATATTTGGACCACTTTGTGGCCTTCCTTCGAAACGGGTATATCTTCACATCAAACCTAGACAGAAGCATTCTCAGAATGTTTCCTGTGATGACTGCATTCAACTCACAGAGGTGAACAATCCTGTTGATGGAGCAGTTTTGAAACTCTCTTTCTTTGGAATCTGCAAGTGGATGTGTGGACCTCTCTGAAGATTTCGTTGGAAACGGGTTCATCTTCACAGAAAAACTAAACAGAAGCATTCTCAGAAACTGCTTTGTGATGTTTGTGTTCCACTTCAAGAATTGAAGTTTCCTCTTGACAGAGCAGCTCTGAAACCCTCTTTTTCTAGAATCTGCAAGTGGACATTTGGAGGGCTTTGAGGCCTGTGGTGGAAAAGGAAAATCTTCACATAAAAACTAGATGGAAGCATTCTCAGAAACTACTTTGTGATGATTGCATTCGACTCACAGAGTTGAACATTCCCATAGGTAGAGCAGGTTGTAAACAATCTTTTTGTAGAATCTGCGATTGGAGATTTGGACTGCTTTGAGGCCTACTGTAGTAAAGGAAATTACTTCATCTAAAAACCAAACGGAAGCATTCACAGACAATTCTTAGTGATCATTGGATTGAACTAACGGAGCTGAACATTCCTTTAGATGGAGCAGTTTCCAAACACACTTTCTGTAGAATCTGCAAGTGGATATTTGGACTTCTCTGAGGATTTCGTTGGAAACGGGATAAACTTCCCAGAACTACAGGGAAGCATTGTGAGAAACTTCTTTGTGATGTTTGCATTCAACTCACAGAGTTGAACCTTGCTTTCATAGTTCAGCTTTCAAACACTCTTTTTGTAGAATCTGCAAGTGGATATTTGGACCACTTTGTGGCCTTCCTTCGAAACGGGTATATCTTCACATCAAACCTAGACAGAAGCATTCTCAGAATGTTTCCTGTGATGACTGCATTCAACTCACAGAGGTGAACAATCCTGCTGATGGAGCAGTTTTGAAACTCTCCTTCTTTGGATTCTGCAAGTGGATATGTGGACCTCTGTGAAGATTTCGTTGGAAACGGGTTCATCTTCACAGAAAAACTAAACAGGACCATTCTCAGAAACTGCTTTGTGATGTTTGTGTTCCACTTCAAGAATTGAACTTTCCTCTTGACAGAGCAGCTCTGAAACCCTCTTTTTCTAGAATCTGCAAGTGGATATTTGGAGGGCTTTGAGGCCTGTGGTGGAAAAGGAAAATCTTCACATAAAAACTAGATGGAAGCATTCTCAGAAACTACTTTGTGATGATTGCATTCGACTCACAGAGTTGAACATTCCTATAGATAGAGCAGGTTGTAAACAATCTTTTTGTAGAATCTGCGATTGGAGATTTGGACTGCTTTGAGGCCTACTGTAGTAAAGGAAATAACTTCATCTAAAAACCAAACGGAAGCATTCACAGACAATTCTTAGTGATCATTGCATTGAACTAACAGAGCTGAACATTCCTTTAGATGGAGCAGTTTCCAAACACACTTTCTGTAGAATGTGCAAGTGGATATTTGGACTTCTCTGAGGATTTCGTTGGAAACGGGATAAACTTCCCAGAACTACACGGAAGCATTGTGAGAAACTTCTTTGTGATGTTTGCATTCAACTCACAGAGTTGAACCTTGCTTTCATAGTTCAGCTTTCAAACACTCTTTTTGTAGAATCTGCAAGTGGATATTTGGACCACTTTGTGGCCTTCCTTTGAAAAGGGTATATCTTCACATCAAACCTAGACAGAAGCATTCTCAGAATGTTTCCTGTGATGACTGCATTGAACTCACAGAGGTGAACAATCCTGTTGTTGGAGCAGTTTTGAAACTCTCTTTCTTTGGATTCTGCAAGTGGATATGTGGACCTCTGTGAAGATTTCGTTGGAAACGGGTTCATCTTCACAGAAAAACTAAACAGGAGCATTCTCAGAAACTGCTTTGTGATGTTTGTGTTCCACTTCAGGAATTGAACTTTCCTCTTGACAGAGCAGCTCTGAAACCCTCTTATTCTAGAATCTGCAAGTGGACATTTGGAGGGCTTTGAGGCCTGTGGTGGAAAAGGAAAATCTTCACATAAAAACCAGATGGAAGCATTCTCAGAAACTCCTTTGTGATGATTGCATTCGACTCACAGAGTTGAACATTCCTATAGATAGAGCAGGTTGTAAACAATCTTTTTGTAGAATCTGCGATTGGAGATTTGGACTGCTTTGAGGCCTACTGTAGTAAAGGAAATAACTTCATCTAAAAACCAAACGGAAGCATTCACAGACAATTCTTAGTGATCATTGCATTGAACTAACAGAGCTGAACATTCCTGTAGATGGAGCATTTTCCAAACACACTTTCTGTAGAATCTGCAAGTGGATATTTGGACTTCTCTGAGGATTTCGTTGGAAACGGGATAAAATTCCCAGAACTACACGGAAGCCTTCTGAGAAACTTCTTTGTGATGTTTGCATTCAACTCACAGATTTGAACCTTGCTTTCATAGTTCAGCTTTCAAACACTCTTTTTGTAGAATCTGCAAGAGGATATTTGGACCACTTTGTGGCCTTCCTTCGAAACGGGTATATCTTCACATCAAACCTAGACAGAAGCATTCTCAGAATGTTTCCTGTGATGACTGCATTCAACTCACAGAGGTGAACAATCCTGCTGATGGAGCAGTTTTGAAACTCTCTTTCTTTGGATTCTGCAAGTGGATATGTGGACCTCTGTGAAGATTTCGTTGGAAACGGGTTCATCTTCACAGAAAAACTAAACAGAAGCATTCTCAGAAACTGCTTTGTGATGTTTGTGTTCCACTTCAGGAATTGAACTTTCCTCTTGACAGAGCAGCTCTGAATCCCTCTTTTTCTAGAATCTGCAAGGGGACATTTGGAGGGCTTTGAGGCCTGTGGTGGAAAAGGAAAATCTTCACATAAAAACTAGATGGAAGCATTCTCACAAACTACTTTGTGATGATGGCATTCGACTCACAGAGTTGAACATTCCTATAGATAGAGCAGGTTGTAAACAATCTTTTTGTAGAATCTGCGATTGGAGATTTGGACTGCTTTGAGGCCTACTGTAGTAAAGGAAATAACTTCATCTAAAAACCAAACGGAAGCATTCACAGACAATTCTTAGTGATCATTGGATTGAACTAACAGAGCTGAACATTCCTTTAGATGGAGCAGTTTCCAAACACACTTTCTGTAGAATCTGCAAGTGGATATTGGGACTTCTCTGAGGATTTCGTTGGAAACGGGATAAACTTCCCAGAACTACACGGAAGCATTGTGAGAAACTTCTTTGTGATGTTTGCATTCAACTCACAGAGTTGAACCTTGCTTTCATAGTTCAGCTTTCAAACACTCTTTTTGTAGAATCTGCAAGTGAATATTTGGACCACTTTGTGGCCTTCCTTCGAAACGGGTATATCTTCACATCAAACCTAGACAGAAGCATTCTCAGAATGTTTCCTGTGATGACTGCATTCAACTCACAGAGGTGAACAATCCTGCTGATGGAACAGTTTTGAAACTCTCTTTCTTTGGATTCTGCAAGTGGATATGTGGACCTCTGTGAAGATTTCGTTGGAAACGGGTTCATCTTGACAGAAAAACTAAACAGAAGCATTTTCAGAAACTGCTTTGTGATGTTTGTGTTCCACTTCAGGAATTGAACTTTCCTCTTGACAGAGCAGCTCTGAAACCCTCTTTTTCTAGAATCTGCAAGTGGTCATTTGGAGGGCTTTGAGGCCTGTGGTGGAAAAGGAAAATCTTCACATAAAAACTAGATGGAAGCATTCTCAGAAACTACTTTGTGATGATTGCATTCGACTCACAGAGTTGAACATTCCTATAGATAGAGCAGGTTGTAAACAATCTTTTTGTAGAATCTGCGATTGGAGATTTGGACTGCTTTGAGGCCTACTGTAGTAAAGGAAATAACTTCATCTAAAAACCAAACGGAAGCATTCACAGACAATTCTTAGTGATCATTGCATTGAACTAACAGAGCTGAACATTGCTTTAGATGGCGCAGTTTCCAAACACCCTTTCTGTAGAATCTGCAAGTGGATATTTGGACCTCTCTGAGGATATCGTTGGAAAAGGGATAAACTTCCCAGGAACTACACGAGAAGCATTCTGAGAAACTTCTTTGTGATGTTTGCATTCAACTCACAGAGTTGAACCTTGCTTTCATAGTTCAGCTTTCAAACACTCTTTTTGTAGAATCTGCAAGTGGATATTTGGACCACTTTGTGGCCTTCCTTCGAAACGGGTATATCTTCACATCAAACCTAGACAGAAGCCTTCTCAGAATGTTTCCTGTGATGACTGCATTCAACTCACAGAGGTGAACAATCCTGCTGATGGAGCAGTTTTGAAACTCTCTTTCTTTGGATTCTGCAAGTGGATATGTGGACCTCTGTGAAGATTTCGTTGGAAACGGGTTCATCTTCACAGAAAAACTAAACAGAAGCATTCTCAGAAACTGCTTTGTGATGTTTGTGTTCCACTTCAGGAATTGAACTTTCCTCTTGACAGAGCAGCTCTGAAACCCTCTTTTTCTAGAATCTGCAAGTGGACATTTGGAGGGCTTTGAGGCCTGTGGTGGAAAAGGAAAATCTTCACATAAAAACTAGATGGAATCATTCTCAGAAACTACTTTGTGATGATTGCATTCGACTCACAGAGTTGAACATTCCTATAGATAGAGCAGGTTGTAAACAATCTTTTTGTAGAATCTGCGATTGGAGATTTGGACTGCTTTGAGGCCTACTGTAGTAAAGGAAATAACTTCATCTAAAAACCAAACGGAAAGCATTCACAGACAATTCTTAGTGATCATTGGATTGAACTAACAGAGCTGAACATTCCCTTAGATAGCGCAGTTTCCAAACACACTTTCTGTAGAATCTGCAAGTGGATATTTGGACCTCTCTGAGGATTTCGTTGGAAACGGGATAAACTTCCCAGAACTACACGGAAGTATTCTGAGAAACTTCTTTGTGATGTTTGCATTCAACTCACAGAGTTGAAACTTGCTTTCATAGTTCAGCTTTCAAACACTCTTTTTGTAGAATCTGCAAGTGGATATTTGGACCACTTTGTGGCCTTCCTTCGAAACGGGTATATCTTCACATCAAACCTAGACAGAAGCATTCTCAGAATGTTTCCTGTGATGACTGCATTCAACTCACAGAGGTGAACAATCCTGCTGATGGAGCAGTTTTGAAACTCTCTTTCTTTGGATTCTGCAAGTGGATATGTGGACCTCTGTGAAGATTTCGTTGGAAACGGGTTCATCTTCACAGAAAAACTAAACAGAAGCATTCTCAGAAACTGCTTTGTGATGTTTGTGTTCCACTTCAGGAATTGAACTTTCCTCTTGACAGAGCAGCTCTAAAACCCTCTTATTCTAGAATCTGCAAGTGGACATTTGGAGGGCTTTGAGGCCTGTGGTGGAAAAGGAAAATCTTCACATAAAAACTAGATGGAAGCATTCTCAGAAACTACTTTGTGATGATTGCATTCGACTCACAGAGTTGAACATTCCTATAGATAGAGCAGGTTGTAAACAATCTTTTTGTAGAATCTGCGATTGGAGATTTGGACTGCTTTGAGGCCTACTGTAGTAAAGGAAATAACTTCATCTAAAAACCAAACGGAAGCATTCACTGACAATGCTTAGTGATCATTGGATTGAACTAACAGAGCTGAACATTCCTTTAGATGGAGCAGTTTCCAAACCCACTTTCTGTAGAATATGCAAGGTGGATATTTGGACCTCTCTGAGGATTTCGTTGGAAACGGGATATGCTTCCCAGAACTACACGGAAGCATTCTGAGAAACTTCTTTGTGATGTTTGCATTCAACTCACAGAGTTGAACCTTGCTTTCATAGTTCAGCTTTCAAACACTCTTTTTGTAGAATCTGCAAGTGGATATTTGGACCACTTTGTGGCCTTCCTTCGAAACGGGTATATCTTCACATCAAACCTAGACAGAAGCATTCTCAGAATGTTTCCTGTGATGACTGCATTCAACTCACAGAGGTGAACAATCCTGCTGATGGAGCAGTTTTGAAACTCTCTTTCTATGGATTCTGCAAGTGGATATGTGGACCTCTGTGAAGATTTCGTTGGCAACGCGTTCATCTTCACAGAAAAACTAAACAGAAGCATTCTCAGAAACTGCTTTGTGATGTTTGTGTTCCACTTCAAGAATTGAACTTTCCTCTTGACAGAGCAGCTCTGAAACCCTCTTTTTCTAGAATCTGCAGGTGGACATTTGGAGGGCTTTGAGGCCTGTGGTGGAAAAGGAAATATCTTCACATAAAACCTAGATAGAAGCATTCTCAGAAACTACTTTGTGATGATTGCATTCGACTCACAGAGTTGAACATTCCTATACATAGAGCAGGTTGTAAACAATCTTTTTGTAGAATCTGCGATTGGAGATTTGGACTGCTTTGAGGCCTACTGTAGTAAAGGAAATAACTTCATCTAAAAACCAAACGGAAGCATTCCCAGACAATTCTTAGTGATCATTGGATTGAACTAACAGAGCTGAATATTCCTTTAGATGGCGCAGTTTCCAAACACACTTTCTGTAGAATCTGCAAGTGGATATTTGTACCTCTCTGAGGATTTCGTTGGAAACGGGATAAACTTCCCAGAACTACACGGAAGCATTCTGAGAAACTTCTTTGTGATGTTTGCATTCAACTCACAGAGTTGAACCTTGCTTTCATAGTTCAGCTTTCAAACCCTCTTTTTGTAGAATCTGCAAGTGGATATTTGGACCACTTTGTGGCCTTCCTTCGAAACGGGTATATCTTCACATCAAACCTAGACAGAAGCATTCACAGACAATTCTTAGTGATCATTGGATTGAACTAACAGAGCTGAACATTCCTTTAGATGGAGCATTTTCCAAACACACTTTCTGTAGAATCTGCAAGTGGATATTTGGACCTCTCTGAGGATTTCGGTTGGAAACGGGGTAAACTTCCCAGAAATACACGGAAGCATTCTCAGAAACTGCTTTGTGATGTTTGTGTTCCACTTCAAGAATTGAAATTTCCTCTTGACAGAGCAGCTCTGAAACCCTCTTTTTCTAGAATCTGCAAGTGGACATTTGGAGGGATTTGAGGCCTGTGGTGGAAAAGGAAAAATCTTCACATAAAAACTAGATGGAAGCATTCTCAGAAACTACTTTGTGATGATTGCATTCGACTCACAGAGTTGAACATTCCTATAGGTAGAGCAGGTTGTAAACAATCTTTTTGTAGAATCTGCGATTGGAGATTTGGACTGCTTTGAGGCCTACTGTAGTAAAGGAAATAACTTCATCTAAAAACCAAACGGAAGCATTCACAGACAATTCTTAGTGATCATTGCATTGAACTAACAGAGCTGAACATTCCTTTAGATGGCGCAGTTTCCAAACACACTTTCTGTAGAATCTGCAAGTGGATATTTGGACCTCTCTGAGGATTTCGTTGGAAACGGGATAAACTTCCCAGAACTACACGGAAAGCATTCTGAGAAACTTCTTTGTGATGTTTGCATTCAACTCACAGGATTTGCACCTTGCTTTCATAGTTCAGCTTTCAAACACTCTTTTTGTAGAATCTGCAAGTGGATATTTGGACCACTTTGTGGCCTTCCTTCGAAAAGGGTATATCTTCACATCAAACCTAGACAGAAGCATTCTCAGAATGTTTCCTGTGATGACTGCATTCAACTCACAGAGGTGAACAATCCTGCTGATGGAGCAGTTTTGAAACTCTCTTTCTTTGGATTCTGCAAGTGGATATGTGGACCTCTGTGAAGATTTCGTTGGAAACGGGTTCATCTTCACAGAAAAACTAAACAGAAGCATTCTCAGAAACTGCTTTGTGATGTTTGTGTTCCACTTCAGGAATTGAACTTTCCTCTTGACAGAGCAGCTCTAAAACCCTCTTATTCTAGAATCTGCAAGTGGACATTTGGAGGGCTTTGAGGCCTGTGGTGGAAAAGGAAAATCTTCACATAAAAACTAGATGGAAGCATTCTCAGAAACTACTTTGTGATGATTGCATTCGACTCACAGAGTTGAATATTCCTATAGATAGAGCAGGTTGTAAACAATCTTTTTGTAGAATCTGCGATTGGAGATTTGGACTGCTTTGAGGCCTACTGTAGTAAAGGAAATAACTTCATCTAAAAACCAAACGGAAGCATTCACAGACAATTCTTAGTGATCATTGGATTGAACTAACAGCAGCTGAACATTCCTTTAGATGGCGCAGTTTCCAAACACACTTTCTGTAGAATCTGCAAGTGGATATTTGGACCTCTCTGAGGATTTCGTTGGAAACGGGATAAACTTCCCAGAACTACACGGAAGCATTCTGAGAAACTTCTTTGTGATGTTTGCATTCAACTCACAGAGTTGCACCTTGCTTTCATAGTTCAGCTTTCAAACACTCTTTTTGTAGAATCTGCAAGTGGATGTTTGGAACACTTTGTGGCCTTCCTTCGAAACGGGTATATCTTCACATCAAACCTAGACAGAAGCATTCTCAGAATGTTTCCTGTGATGACTGCATTCAACTCACAGAGGTGAACAATCCTTCTGATGGAGCAGTTTTGAAACTCTCTTTCTTTGGATTCTGCAAGTGGATATGTGGACCTCTGTGAAGATTTCGTTGGAAACGGGTTCATCTTCACAGAAAAACTAAACAGGAGCATTCTCAGAAACTGCATTGTGATGTTTGTGTTCCACTTCAAGAATTGAACTTTCCTCTTGACAGAGCAGCTCTGAAACCCTCTTTTTCTAGAATCTGCAAGTGGACATTTGGAGGGCTTTGAGGCCTGTGGTGGAAAAGGAAAATCTTCACATAAGAACTTTATGGAAGCATTCTCAGAAACTACTTTGTGATGATTGCATTCGACTCACAGAGTTGAACATTCCTATAGATAGAGCAGGTTGTAAACAATCTTTTTGTAGAATCTGCGATTGGAGATTTGGACTGCTTTGAGGCCTACTGTAGTAAAGGAAATAACTTCATCTAAAAACCAAACGGAAGCATTCACAGACAATTCTTAATGATCATTGCATTGAACTAACAGAGCTGAACATTCCTTTAGATGGAGCAGTTTCCAAACCCACTTTCTGTAGAATCTGCAAGTGGATATTTGGACTTCTCTGAGGATTTCGTTGGAAACGGGATAAACTTCCCAGAACTACACGGAGCATTGTGAGAAACTTCTTTGTGATGTTTGCATTCAACTCACAGAGTTGAACCTTGCTTTCATAGTTCAGCTTTCAAACACTCTTTTTGTAGAATCTGCAAGTGGATATTTGGACCACTTTGTGGCCTTCCTTCGAAACGGGTATATCTTCACATCAAACCTAGACAGAAGCATTCTCAGAATGTTTCCTGTGATGACTGCATTCAACTCACAGAGGTGAACAATCCTGCTGATGGAGCAGTTTTGAAACTATCTTTCTTTGGATTCTGCAAGTGGATATGTGGACCTCTGTGAAGATTTCGTTGGAAACGGGTTCATCTTCACAGAAAAACTAAACAGGAGCATTCTCAGAATCTGCTTTGGGATGTTTGTGTTCCACTTCAAGAATTGAACTTTCCTCTTGACAGAGCAGCTCTGAAACCCTCTTTTTCTAGAATCTGCAAGTGGACATTTGGAGGGCTTTGAGGCCTGTGGTGGAAAAGGAAAATCTTCACATAAAAACTAGATGGAAGCATTCTCAGAAACTACTTTGTGATGATTGCATTCGACTCACAGAGTTGAACATTCCTATAGATAGAGCAGGTTGTAAACAATCTTTTTGTAGAATCTGCGATTGGAGATTTGGACTGCTTTGAGGCCTACTGTAGTAAAGGAAATAACTTCATCTAAAAACCAAACGGAAAGCATTCACAGACAATTCTTAGTGATCATTGGATTGAACTAACAGAGCTGAACATTCCTTTAGATGGAGCAGTTTCCAAACACACTTTCTGCAGAATCTGCAAGTGGATATTTGGACTTCTCTGAGGATTTCGTTGGAAATGGGATAAACTTCCCAGAACTACACGGAAGCATTCTGAGAAACTTCTTTGTGATGTTTGCATTCAACTCACAGAGTTGAACCTTGCTTTCATAGTTCAGCTTTCAAACACTCTTTTTGTAGAATCTGCAAGTGGATATTTGGACCACTTTCTGGCCTTCCTTCGAAACGGGTATATCTTCACATCAAACCTAGACAGAAGCATTCTCAGAATGTTTCCTGTGATGACTGCATTCAACTCACAGAGGTGAACAATCCTGCTGATGGAGCAGTTTTGAAACTCCCTCTCTTTGGATTCTGCAAGTGGATATGTGGACCTCTGTGAAGATTTCGTTGGAAACGGGTTCATCTTCACAGAAAAACTAAACAGAAGCATTCTCAGAAACTGCTTTGTGATGTTTGTGTTCCACTTCAGGAATTGAACTTTCCTCTTGACAGAGCAGCTCTGAAACCGTCTTATTCTAGAATCTGCAAGTGGACATTTGGAGGGCTTTGAGGCCTGTGGTGGAAAAGGAAAATCTTCACATAAAAACTAGATGGAAGCATTCTCAGAAACTACTTTGTGATGATTGCATTCGACTCACAGAGTTGAACATTCCTATAGATAGAGCAGGTTGTAAACAATCTTTTTGTAGAATCTGCGATTGGAGATTTGGACTGCTTTGAGGCCTACTGTAGTAAAGGAAATAACTTCATCTAAAAACCAAACGGAAAGCATTCACAGACAATTCTTAGTGATCATTGCATTGAACTAACAGAGCTGAACATTCCTTTAGATGGAGCAGTTTCCAAACCCACTTTCTGTAGAATCTGCAAGTGGATATTTGGACTTCTCTGAGGATTTCGTTGGAAACGGGATAAACTTCCCAGAACTACACGGGAAGCATTCTGAGAAACTTCTTTGTGATGCTTGCATTCAACTCACAGAGTTGAACCTTGCTTTCATAGTTCAGCTTTCAAACACTCTTTTTGTAGAATCTGCAAGTGGATATTTGGACCACTTTGTGGCCTTCCTTCGAAACGGGTATATCTTCACATCAAACCTAGACAGAAGCATTCTCAGAATGTTTCCTGTGATGACTGCATTCAACTCACAGAGGTGAACAATCCTGCTGATGGAGCAGTTTTGAAACTCTCTTTCTTTGGATTCTGCAAGTGGATATGTGGACCTCTGTGAAGATTTCGTTGGAAACGGGTTCATCTTCACAGAAAAACTAAACAGAAGCATTCTCAGAAACTGCTTTGTGATGTTTGTGTTCCACTTCAGGAATTGAACTTTCCTCTTGACAGAGCAGCTCTGAAACCCTCTTATTCTAGAATCTGCAAGTGGACATTTGGAGGGCTTTGAGGCCTGTGGTGGAAAAGGAAAATCTTCACATAAAAACTAGATGGAAGCATTCTCAGAAACTACTTTGTGATGATTGCATTCGACTCACAGAGTTGAACATTCCTATAGATAGAGCAGGTTGTAAACAATCTTTTTGTAGAATCTGCGATTGGAGATTAGGACTGCTTTGAGGCCTACTGTAGTAAAGGAAATAACTTCATCTAAAAACCAAACGGAAGCATTCACAGACAATTCTTAGTGATCACTGGATTGAACTAACAGAGCTGAACATTCCTTTAGATGGAGCAGTTTCCAAACACACTTTCTGTAGAATCTGCAAGTGGATATTTGGACTTCTCTGAGGATTTCGTTGGAAACGGGATAAACTTCCCAGAACAACACGGAAGCATTCTGAGAAACTTCTTTGTGATGTTTGCATTCAACTCACAGAGTTGAACCTTGCTTTCATAGTTCAGCTTTCAAACACTCTTTTTGTAGAATCTGCAAGTGGATATTTGGACCACTTTGTGGCCTTCCTTCGAAACGGGTATATCTTCACATCAAACCTAGACAGAAGCATTCTCAGAATGTTTCCTGTAATGACTGCATTCAACTCACAGTGGTGAACAATCCTGCTGATGGAGCAGTTTTGAAACTCTCTTTCTTTGGATTCTGCAAGTGGATATGTGGACCTCTGTGAAGATTTCGTTGGAAACGGGTTCATCTTCACAGAAAAACTAAACAGAAGCATTCTCAGAAACTGCTTTGTGATGTTTGTGTTCCACTTCAGGAATTGAACTTTCCTCTTGACAGAGCAGCTCTGAAACCCTCTTATTCTAGAATCTGCAAGTGGACATTTGGAGGGCTTTGAGGCCTGTGGTGGAAAAGGAAAATCTTCACATAAAAACTAGATGGAAGCATTCTCAGAAACTACTTTGTGATGATGGCTTTCGACTCACAGAGTTGAACATTCCTATAGATAGAGCAGGTTGTAAACAATCTTTTTGTAGAATCTGCGATTGGAGATTTGGACTGCTTTGAGGCCTACTGTAGTAAAGGAAATAACTTCATCTAAAAACCAAACGGAAGCATTCACAGACAATTCTTAGTGATCATTGGATTGAACTAACAGAGCTGAACATTCCTTTAGATGGAGCAGTTTCCAAACCCACTTTCTGTAGAATCTGCAAGTGGATATTTGGACTTCTCTGAGGATTTCGTTGGAAACGGGATAAACTTCCCAGAACTACACGGAAGCATTCTGAGAAACTTCTTTGTGATGTTTGCATTCAACTCACAGAGTTGAATCTTGCTTTCATAGTTCAGCTTTCAAACACTCTTTTTGTAGAATCTGCAAGTGAATATTTGGACCACATTTTGGCCTTCCTTCGAAACGGGTATATCTTCGCATCAAACCTAGACAGAAGCATTCTCAGAATGTTTCCTGTGATGACTGCATTCAACTCACAGAGGTGAACAATCCTGTTGATGGAGCAGTTTTGAAACTCTCTTTCTTTTGATTCTGCAAGTGGATATGTGGACCTCTGTGAAGATTTCGTTGGAAACGGTTTCATCTTCACAGAAAAACTAAACAGAAGCATTCTCAGAAACTGCTTTGTGATGTTTGTGTTCCACTTCAAGAATTGAACTTTCCTCTTGACAGAGCAGCTCTGAAACCCTCTTTTTCTGGAATCTGCAAGTGGACATTTGGAGGGCTTTGAGGCCTGTGGTGGAAAAGGAAAATCTTCCCATAAAAACTAGATGGAAGCATTCTCAGAAACTACTTTGTGATGATTGCATTCGACTCACAGAGTTGAACATTCCTATAGATAGAGCAGGTTGTAAACAATCTTTTTGTAGAATCTGCGATTGGAGATTTGGACTGCATTGAGGCCTACTGTAGTAAAGGAAATAACTTCATCTAAAAACCAAACGGAAGCATTCACAGACAATTCTTAGTTATCATTGGATTGAACTAACAGAGCTGAACATTCCTTTAGATGGCGCAGTTTCCAAACACACTTTCTGTAGAATCTGCAAGTGGATATTTGGACCTCTCTGAGGATTTCGTTGGAAACGGGATAAATTTCCCAGAACTACACGGAAGTATTCTGAGAAACTTCTTTGTGATGTTTGCATTCAACTCACAGAGTTGAACCTTGCTTTCATAGTTCAGCTTTCAAACACTCTTTTTGTAGAATCTGCAAGTGGATATTTGGACCACTTTGTGGCCTTCCTTCGAAACGGGTATATCTTCACATCAAACCTAGACAGAAGCATTCTCAGAATGTTTCCTGTGATGAATGCATTCAACTCACAGAGGTGAACAATCCTGCTGATGGAGCAGTTTTGAAACTCTCTTTCTTTGGATTCTGCAAGTGGATATGTGGACCTCTGTGAAGATTTCGTTTGAAACGGGTTCATCTTCACAGAAAAACTAGACAGAAGCATTCTCAGAAACTGCTTTGTGATGTTTGTGTTCCACTTCAGGAATTGAACTTTCCTCTTGACAGAGCAGCTCTAAAACCCTCTTATTCTAGAATCTGCAAGTGGACATTTGGAGGGCTTTGAGGCCTGTGGTGGAAAAGGAAAATCTTCACATAAAAACTAGATGGAAAGCATTCTCAGAAACTACTTTGTGATGATTGCATTCGACTCACAGAAGTTGAACATTCCTATAGATAGAGAAGGTTGTAAACAATCTTTTTGTAGAATCTGCGATTGGAGATTTGGACTGCTTTGAGGCCTACTGTAGTAAAGGAAATAACTTCACCTAAAAACCAAACGGAAGCATTCACAGACAATTCTTAGTGATCATTGGATTGAACTAACAGAGCTGAACATTCCTTTAGATGGCGCAGTTTAAAAACCCACTTTCTGTGGAATCTGCAAGTGGATATTTGGACCTCTCTGAGGATTTCGTTGGAAACGGGATAAATTTCCCAGAACTACACGGAAGCATTCTGAGAAACTTCTTTGTGATGTTTGCATTCAACTCACAGAGTTGAACCTTGCTTTCATAGTTCAGCTTTCAAACACTCTTTTTGTAGAATCTGCAAGTGGATATTTGGACCACTTTGTGGCCTTCCTTCGAAACGGGTATATCTTCACATCAAACCTAGACAGAAGCATTTTCAGAATGTTTCCTGTGATGACTGCATTCAACTCACAGAGGTGAACAATCCTGCTGAAGGAACAGTTTTGAAACTCTCTTTCTTTGGATTCTGCAAGTAGATATGAGGACCTCTGTGAAGATTTCGTTGGAAACGGGTTCATCTTCACAGAAAAACTAAACAGGAGCATTCTCAGAAACTGCTTTGTGATGTTTGTGTTCCACTTCAGGAATTGAACTTTCCTCTTGACAGAGCAGCTCTAAAACCCTCTTATTCTAGAATCTGCAAGTGGACATTTGGAGGGCTTTGAGGCCTGTGGTGGAAAAGGAAAATCTTCACATAAAAACTAGATGGAAGCATTCTCAGAAAGTACTCTGTGATGATTGCATTCGACTCACAGAGTTGAACATTCCTATAGATAGAGCAGGTTGTAAACAATCTTTTTGTAGAATCTGTGATTGGAGATTTGGACTGCTTTGAGGCCTATTGTAGTAAAGGAAATAACTTCATCTAAAAACCAAACGGAAGCATTCACAGACAATTCTTAGTGATCATTGGATTGAACTAACAGAGCTGAACATTCCTTTAGATGGAGCAGTTTCCAAACACACTTTCTGTAGAATCTGCAAGTGGATATTTGGACTTCTCTGAGGATTTCGTTGGAAACGGGATAAACTTCCCAGAACTACACGGAAGCATTCTGAGAAACTTCTTTGTGATGTTTGCATTCAACTCACAGAGTTGAACCTTGCTTTCATAGTTCAGCTTTCAAAGAGTCTTTTTGTAGAATCTGCAAGTGGATATTTGGACCACTTTGTGGCCTTCCTTCGAAACGGGTATATCTTCACATCAAACCTAGACAGAAGCATTCTCAGAATGTTTCCTGTGATGACTGCATTCAACTCACAGAGGTGAACAATCCTGTAGATGGAGCAGTTTTGAAACTCTCTTTCTTTGGATTCTGCAAGTGGATATGTGGACCTCTGTGAAGATTTGGTTGGAAACAGGTTCATCTTCACAGAAAAACTAAACAGAAGCATTCTCAGAAACTGCTTTGTGATGTTTGTGTTCCACTTCAAGAATTGAACTTTCCTCTTGACAGAGCAGCTCTGAAACCCTCTTTTTCTAGAATCTGCAAGTGGACATTTGGAGGGCTTTGAGGCCTGTGGTGGAAAAGGAAAATCTTCACATAAAAACTAGATGGAAGCATTCTCGGAAACTACTTTGTGATGATTGCATTCGACTCACAGAGTTGAACATTCCTATAGATAGAGCAGGTTGAAAACAATCTTTTTGTAGAATCTGCGATTGGAGATTTGGACTGCTTTGAGGCCTACTGTAGTAAAGGAAATAACTTCATCTAAAAACCAAACGGAAGCATTCACAGACAATCCTTAGTGATCATTGCATTGAACTAACAGAGCTGAACATTCCTTTAGATGGCGCAGTTTCCAAACACACTTTCTGTAGAATCTGCAAGTGGATATTTGGACCTCTCTGAGGATTTCGTTGGAAACGGGATAAACTTCCCAGAACTACACGGAAGCATTGTGAGAAAATTCTTTGTGATGTTTGCATTCAACTCACAGAGTTGAACCTTGGTTTCATAGTTCAGCTTTCAAACACTCTTTTTGTAGAATCTGCAAGTGGATATTTGGACCACTTTGTGGCCTTCCTTCGAAACGGGTATATCTTCACATCAAACCTAGACAGAAGCATTCTCAGAATGTTTCCTGTGATGACTGCATTCAACTCACAGAGGTGAACAATCCTGCTGATGGAGCAGTTTTGAAACTCTCTTTCTTTGGATTCTGCAAGTGGATATGTGGACCTCTGTGAAGATTTCGTTGGAAACGGGTTCATCTTCACAGAAAAACTAAACAGAAGCATTCTCAGAAACTGCTTTGTGATGTTTGTGTTCCACTTCAGGAATTGAACTTTCCTCTTGACAGAGCAGCTCTGAAATCCTCTTATTCTAGAATCTGCAAGTGGACATTTGGAGGGCTTTGAGGCCTGTGGTGGAAAAGGAAAATCTTCACATAAAAACTAGATGGAAGCATTCTCAGAAACTACTTTGTGATGATTGCATTCGACTCACAGAGTTGAACATTCCTATAGATAGAGCAGGTTGTAAACAATCTTTTTCAAGAATCTGCGATTGGAGATTTGGCCTGCTTTGAGGCCTACTGTAGTAAAGGAAATAACTTCATCTAAAACCAAACGGAAGCATTCACAGACAATTCTTAGTGATCATTGGATTGAACTAACAGAGCTGAACATTACTTTAGATGGAGCAGTTTCCAAACACACTTTCTGTAGAATCTGCAAGTGGATATTTGGACTTCTCTGAGGATTTCGTTGGAAACGGGATAAACTTCCCAGAACTACACGGAAGCATTCTGAGAAACTTCTTTGTGATGTTTGCATTCAACTCACAGAGTTGAACCTTGCTTTCATAGTTCAGCTTTCAAACACTCTTTTTGTAGAATCTGCAAGTGGATATTTGGACCACTTTGTGGCCTTCCTTCGAAACGGGTATATCTTCACATCAAACCTAGACAGAAGCATTCTCATAATGTTTCCTGTGATGACTGCATTCAACTCACAGATGTGAACAATCCTGTTGATGGAGCAGTTTTGAAACTCTCTTTCTTTGGATTCTGCAAGTGGATATGTGGACCTCTGTGAAGATTTCATTGGAAACGGGTTCATCTTCACAGAAAAACTAAACAGGAACATTCTCAGATACTGCTTTGTGATGTTTGTGTTCCACTTCAGGAACTGAACTTTCCTCTTGATAGAGCAGCTCTGAAACCCTCTTTTTCTAGAATTTGCAAGTGGACATTTGGAGGGCTTTGAGGCCTGTGGTGGAAAAGGAAAATCTTCACATAAAAACTAGATGGAAGCATTCTCAGAAACTACTATGTGATGATTGCATTCGACTCACAGAGTTGAACATTCCTATAGATAGAGCAGGTTGTAAACAATCTTTTTGTAGAATCTGCGATTGGAGATTTGGACTGCTTTGAGGCCTACTGTAGTAAAGGAAATAACTTCATCTAAAAACCAAACGGAAGCATTCACAGACAATTCTTAGTGATCATTGTATTGAACTAACAGAGCTGAACATTCCTTTAGATGGCGCAGTTTCCAAACACACTTTCTGTAGAATCTGCAAGTGGATATTTGGACCTCTCTGAGGATTTCGTTGGAAACGGGATAAACTTCCCAGAACTACACGGAAGCATTCTGAGAAACTTCTTTGTGATGTTTGCATTCAACTCACAGGGTTGAACCTTGCTTTCATAGTTCACCTTTCAAACACTCTTTTTGTAGAATCTGCAAGTGGATATTTGGACCACTTTGTGGCCTTCCTTCGAAACGGGTATATCTTCACATCAAACCTAGACAGAAGCATTCTCAGAATGTTTCCTGTGATGACTGCATTCAACTCACAGAGGTGAACAATCCTGCTGATGGAGCAGTTTTGAAACTCTCTTTCTTTGGATTCTGCAAGTGGATATGTGGACCTCTGTGAAGATTTCGTTGGAAACGGGTTCATCTTCACAGAAAAACTAAACAGGAACATTCTCAGAAACTGCTTTGTGATGTTTGTGTTCCACTTCAGGAAATTGAACTTTCCTCTTGACAGAGCAGCTCTGAAACCCTCTTATTCTAGAATCTGCAAGTGGACATTTGGAGGGCTTTGAGGCCTGTGGTGGAAAAGGAAAATCTTCACATAAAAACTAGATGGAAGCATTCTCAGAAACTACTTTGTGATGATTGCATTCGACTCACAGAGTTGAACATTCCTATAGATAGAGCAGGTTGTAAACAATCTTTTTGTAGAATCTGCGATTGGAGATTTGGACTGCTTTGAGGCCTACTGTAGTAAAGGAAATAACTTCATCTAAAAACCAAACGGAAGCATTCACAGACAATTCTTAGTGATCATTGGATTGAACTAACAGAGCTGAACATTCCTTTAGATGGAGCAGTTTCCAAACACACTTTCTGTAGAATCTGCAAGTGGATATTTGGACTTCTCTGAGGATTTCGTTGGATAAGGGATAAACTTCCCAGAACTACAGGGAAGCATTCTGAGAAACTTCTTTGTGATGTTTGCATTCAACTCACAGATTTGCACCTTGCTTTCATAGTTCAGCTTTCAAACACTCTTTTTGTAGAATCTGCAAGTGGATATTTGGACCACTTTGTGGCCTTCCTTCGAAAAGGGTATATCTTCACATCAAACCTAGACAGAAGCATTCTCAGAATGTTTCCTGTGATGACTGCATTCAACTCACAGTAGGTGAACAATCCTGTTGATGGAGCACTTTTGAAACTCTCTTTCTTTGGATTCTGCAAGTTGATATGTGGACCTCTGAGAAGATTTCGTTGGAAACGGGTTCATCTTCACAGAAAAACTAAACAGAAGCATTCTCAGAAACTGCTTTGTGATGTTTGTGTTCCACTTCAGGAATTGAACTTTCCTCTTGTCAGAGCAGCTCTGAAACCCTCTTTTTCTAGAATGTGCAAGTGGACATTTGGAGGGATTTGAGGCCTGTGGTGGAAAAGGAAAATCTTCACATAAAAACTAGATGGAAGCATTCTCAGAAACTACTTTGTGATGATTGCATTCGACTCACAGCAGTTGAACATTCCTATAGATAGAGCAGGTTGTAAACAATCTTTTTGTAGAATCTGCGATTGGAGATTTGGACTGCTTTGAGGCCTACTGTAGTAAAGGAAATAACTTCATCTAAAAACCAAACGGAAGCATTCACAGACAATTCTTAGTGATCATTGGATTGAACTAACAGAGCTGAACATTCCTTTAGATGGCGCAGTTTCCAAACACACTTTCTGTAGAATCTGCAAGTGGATATTTGGACCTCTCTGAGGATTTCGTTGGAAACGGGATAAACTTCCCAGAACTACACGGAAGCATTCTGAGAAACTTCTTTGTGATGTTTGCATTCAACTCACAGAGTTGAACCTTGCTTTCATAGTTCAGCTTTCAAACACTCTTTTTGTAGAATCTGCAAGTGGATATTTGGACCACTTTGTGGCCTTCCTTCGAAACGGGTATATCTTCACATCAAACCTAGACAGAAGCATTCTCAGAATGTTTCCTGTGATGACTGCATTCAACTCACAGAGGTGAACAATCCTGCAGATGGAGCAGTTTTGAAACTCTCTTTCTTTGGATTCTGCAAGTGGATATGTGGACCTCTGTGAAGATTTCGTTGGAAACGGGTTCATCTTCACAGAAAAACTAAACAGAAGCATTCTCGGAAACTGCTTTGTGATGTTTGTGTTCCACTTCAGGAATTAAACTTTCCTCTTGACAGAGCAGCTCTGAAACCCTCTTATTCTAGAATCTGCAAGTGGACATTTGGAGGGCTTTGAGGCCTGTGGTGGAAAAGGAATATCTTCACATAAAAACTAGATGGAAGCATTCTCAGAAACTACTTTGTGATGATTGCATTCAACTCACAGAGTTGAACATTCCTATAGATAGAGCAGGTTGTAAACAATCTTTTTGTAGAATCTGCGATTGGAGATTTGGACTGCTTTGAGGCCTACTGTAGTAAAGGAAATAACTTCATCTAAAAACCAAACGGAAGCATTCACAGACAATTCTTAGTGATCATTGCATTGAACTAACAGAGCTGAACATTCCTTTAGATGGAGCAGTTTCCAAACACACTTTCTGTAGAATCTGCAAGTGGATATTTGGACTTCTCTGAGGATTTCGTTGGAAACGGGATAAACTTCCCAGAACTACACGGAAGCATTGTGAGAAACTTCTTTGTGATGTTTGCATTCAACTCACAGAGTTGAACCTTGCTTTCATAGTTCAGCTTTCAAACACTCTTTTTGTAGAATCTGCAAGTGGATATTTGGACCACTTTGTGGCCTTCCTTCGAAACGGGTATATCTTCACATCAAACCTAGACAGAAGCATTCTCAGAATGTTTCCTGTGATGACTGCATTCAACTCACAGAGGTGAACAATCCTGCTGATGGAGCAGTTTTGAAACTCTCTTTCTTTGGATTCTGCAAGTGGATATGTGGACCTCTGTGAAGATTTCGTTGGAAACGGGTTCATCTTCACAGAAAAACTAAACAGAAGCATTCTCAGAAACTGCTTTGTGATGTTTGTGTTCCACATCAAGAATTGAACTTTCCTCTTGACAGAGCAGCTCTGAAACCCTCTTTTTCTAGAATCTGCAAGTGGACATTTGGAGGGCTTTGAGGCCTGTGGTGCAAAAGGAAAATCTTCACATAAAAACTAGATGGAAGCATTCTCAGAAACTACTTTGTGATGATGGCTTTCGACTCACAGAGTTGAACATTCCTATAGATAGAGCAGGTTGTAAACAATCTTTTTGTAGAATCTGCGATTGGAGATTTGGACTGCTTTGAGGCCTACTGTAGTAAAGGAAATAACTTCATCTAAAAACCAAACGGAAGCATTCACAGACAATTCTTAGTGATCATTGCATTGAACTAACAGAGCTGAACATTCCTTTAGATGGCGCAGTTTCCAAACACACTTTCTGTAGAATCTGCAAGTGGATATTTGGACCTCTGTGAGGATTTCGTTGGAAACGGGATAAACTTCCCAGAACTACAGGGAAGCATTCTGAGAAACTTCTTTGTGATGTTTGCATTCAACTCACAGAGTTGAACCTTGCTTTCATAGTTCAGCTTTCAAACACTCTTTTTGTAGAATCTGCAAGTGGATATTTGGACCACTTTGTGGCCTTCCTTCGAAACGGGTATATCTTCACATCAAACCTAGACAGAAGCATTCTCAGAATGTTTCCTGTGATGACTGCATTCAACTCACAGAGGTGAACAATCCTGCTGATGGAGCAGTTTTGAAACTCTCTTTCTTTGGAT
Organism: Homo sapiens; assembly: GCF_000001405.40. Classification (NCBI taxonomy): domain Eukaryota; kingdom Metazoa; phylum Chordata; class Mammalia; order Primates; family Hominidae; genus Homo; species Homo sapiens. The sequence goes on from NC_000011.10 coordinate 53,856,337, forward strand.
TCTGCAAGTGGATATGTGGACCTCTGTGAAGATTTCGTTGGAAACGGGTTCATCTTCACAGAAAAATTAAACAGGAGCATTCTCAGAAACTGCTTTGTGATGTTTGTGTTCCACTTCAGGAATTGAACTTTCCTCTTGACAGAGCAGCTCTGAAACCCTCTTATTCTAGAATCTGCAAGTGGACATTTGGAGGGCTTTGAGGCCTGTGGTGGAAAAGGAAAATCTTCACATAAAAACTAGATGGAAGCATTCTCAGAAACTACTTTGTGATGATTGCATTCGACTCACAGAGTTGAACATTCCTATAGATAGAGCAGGTTGTAAACAATCTTTTTGTAGAATCTGCGATTGGAGATTTGGACTGCTTTGAGGCCTACTGTAGTAAAGGAAATAAATTCATCTAAAAACCAAACGGAAGCATTCACAGACAATTCTTAGTGATCATTGGATTGAACCAACAGAGCTGAACATTCCTTTAGATGGAGCAGTTTCCAAACACACTTTCTGTAGAATCTGCAACTGGATATTTGGACCTCTCTGAGGATTTCGTTGGAAACAGGATAAACTTCCCAGAACTACACGGAAGCATTCTGAGAAACTTCTTTGTGATGTTTGCATTCAACTCACAGAGTTGAACCTTGCTTTGATAGTTCAGCTTTCAAACACTCTTTTTGTAGAATCTGCAAGTGGATATTTGGACCACTTTGTGGCCTTCCTTCGAAACGGGTATATCTTCACATCAAACCTAGACAGAAGCATTCTCAGAATGTTTCCTGTGATGACTGCATTCAACTCACAGAGGTGAACAATCCTGCTGATGGAGCAGTTTTGAAACTCTCTTTCTTTGGATTCTGCAAGTGGATATGTGGACCTCTGTGAAGATTTCGTTGGAAACGGGTTCATCTTCACAGAAAAACTAAACAGAAGCATTCTCAGAAACTGCATTATCATGTTTGTGTTCCACTTCAAGAGTTGAACATTCCTCTTGACAGAGCAGCTCTGAAACCCTCTTTTTCTAGAATCTGCAAGTGGACATTTGGAGGGCTTTGAGGCCTGTGGTGGAAAAGGAAAATCTTCACATAAAAACTTTATGGAAGCATTCTCAGAAACTACTTTGTGATGATTGCATTCGACTCACAGAGTTGAACATTCCTATAGATAGAGCAGGTTGTAAACAATCTTTTTGTAAAATCTGCGATTGGAGATTTGGACTGCTTTGAGGCATACTGTAGTAAAGGAAATAACTTCATCTAAAAACCAAACGGAAGCATTCACAGACAATTCTTAGTGATCATTGGATTGAACTAACAGAGCTGAACATTCCTTTAGATGGAGCAGTTTCCAAACACACTTTCTGTAGAATCTGCAAGTGGATATTTGGACTTCTCTGAGGATTTCGTTGGAAACGGCATAAACTTCCCAGAACTACAGGGAAGCATTCTGAGAAACTTCTTTGTGATGTTTGCATTCAACTCACAGAGTTGAACCTTGCTTTCATAGTTCAGCTTTCAAACACTCTTTTTGTAGAATCTGCAAGTGGATATTTGGACCACTTTGTGGCCTTCCTTCGAAACGGGTATATCTTCACATCAAACCTAGACAGAAGCATTCTCAGAATGTTTCCTGTGATGACTGCATTCAACTCACAGAGGTGAACAATCCTGCTGATGGAGCAGTTTTGAAACTCTCTTTCTTTGGATTCTGCAAGTGGATATGTGGACCTCTGTGAAGATTTCGTTGGAAACGGGTTCATCTTCACAGAAAAACTAAACAGGAGCATTCTCAGAAACTGCTTTGTGATGTTTTTGTTCCACTTCAAGAATTGAACTTTCCTCTTGACAGAGCAGCTCTGAAACCCTCTTTTTCTAGAATCTGCAAGTGGACATTTGGAGGGCTTTGAGGCCTGTGGTGCAAAAGGAAAATCTTCACATAAAAACTAGATGGAAGCATTCTCAGAAACTACTTTGTGATGATTGCATTCGACTCACAGAGTTGAACATTCCTATAGATAGAGCAGGTTGTAAACAATCTTTTTGTAGAATCTGCGATTGGAGATTTGGACTGCTTTGAGGCCTACTGTAGTAAAGGAAATAACTTCATCTAAAAACCAAACGGAAGCATTCACAGACAATTCTTAGTGATCATTGGATTGAACTAACAGAGCTGAACATTCCTTTAGATGGAGCAGTTTCCAAACACACTTTCTGTAGAATCTGCAAGTGGATATTTGGACCTCTCTGAGGATTTCGTTGGAAACGGGATAAACTTCCCAGAACTACACGGAAGCATTCTGAGAAACTTCTTTGTGATGTTTGCATTCAACTCACAGAGTTGAACCTTGCTTTCATAGTTCAGCTTTCAAACACTCTTTTTGTAGAATCTGCAAGTGGATATTTGGACCACTTTGTGGCCTTCCTTCGAAACGGGTATATCTTCACATCAAACCTAGACAGAAGCATTCTCAGAATGTTTCCTGTGATGACTGCATTCAACTCACAGAGGTGAACAATCCTGCTGATGGAGCAGTTTTGAAACTCTCTTTCTTTGGATTCTGCAAGTGGATATGTGGACCTCTGTGAAGATTTCGTTGGAAACGGGTTCATCTTCACAGAAAAATTAACAGGAGCATTCTCAGAAACTGCTTTGTGATGTTTGTGTTCCACTTCAAGAATTGAACTTTCCTCTTGACAGAGCAGCTCTGAAACCCTCTTTTTCTAGAATGTGCAAGTGGACATTTGGAGGGCTTTGAGGCCTGTGGTGGAAAAGGAAAATCTTCACATAAAAAGTAGATGGAAGCATTCTCAGAAACTACTTTGTGATGATTGCATTCAACTCACAGAGTTGAACATTCCTATAGATAGAGCAGGTTGTAAACAATCTTTTTGTAGAATCTGCGATTGGAGATTTGGACTGCTTTGAGGCCTACTGTAGTAAAGGAAATAACTTCATCTAAAAACCAAACGGAAGCATTCACAGACAATTCTTAGTGATCATTGGATTGAACTAACAGAGCTGAACATTCCTTTAGATGGGGCAGTTTCCAAACAAACTTTCTGTAGAATCTGCAAGTGGATATTTGGACTTCTCTGAGGATTTCGTTGGAAATGGGATAAACTTCCCAGAACTACACGGAAGCATTGTGAGAAACTTCTTTGTGATGTTTGCATTCAAGTCACAGAGTTGAACCTTGCTTTCATAGTTCAGCTTTCAAACACTCTTTTTGTAGAATCTGCAAGTGGATATTTGGACCACTTTGTGGCCTTCCTTTGAAACGGGTATATCTTCACATCAAACCTAGACAGAAGCCTTCTCAGTAATGTTTCCTGTGATGACTGCATTCAACTCACAGAGGTGAACAATCCTGCTGATGGAGCAGTTTTGAAACTCTCTTTCTTTGGATTCTGCAAGTGGATATGTGGACCTCTGTGAAGATTTCGTTGGAAACGGGTTCATCTTCACAGAAAAACTAAACAGAAGCATTCTCAGAAACTGCTTTGTGATGTTTTTGTTCCACTTCAGGAATTGAACTTTCCTCTTGACGGAGCAGCTCTGAAACCCTCTTATTCTAGAATCTGCAAGTGGACATTTGGAGGGCTTTGAGGCCTGTGGTGGAAAAGGAAAATCTTCACATAAAAACTAGATGGAAGCATTCTCAGAAACTACTTTGTGATGATTGCATTCGACTCACAGAGTTGAACATTCCTATAGATAGAGCAGGTTGTAAACAACCTTTTTGTAGAATCTGCGATTGGAGATTTGGACTGCTTTGAGGCCTACTGTAGTAAAGGAAATAACTTCATCTAAAAACCAAACGGAAGCATTCACAGACAATTCTTAGTGATCATTGGATTGAAGTAACAGAGCTGAACATTCCTTTAGATGGAGCAGTTTCCAAACACACTTTCTGTAGAATCTGCAAGTGGATATTTGGACCTCTCTGAGGATTTCGTTGGAAAAGGGATAAACTTCCCAGAACTACACGGAAGCATTCTGAGAAACTTCTTTGTGATGTTTGCATTCAACTCACAGAGTTGAACCTTGCTTTCATAGTTCAGCTTTCAAACACTCTTTTTGTAGAATCTGCAAGTGGATATTTGGACCACTTTCTGGCCTTCCTTCGAAACGGGTATATCTTCACATCAAACCTAGACAGAAGCATTCTCAGAATGTTTCCTGTGATGACTGCATTCAACTCACAGAGGTGAACAATCCTGTTGATGGAGCAGTTTTGAAACTCTCTTTCTTTGGATTCTGCAAGTTGATATGTGGACCTCTGTGAAGATTTCGTTGGAAACGGGTTCATCTTCACAGAAAAACTAAACAGAAGCACTCTCAGAAACTGCTTTGTGATGTTTGTGTTCCACTTCAAGAATTGAACTTTCCTCTTGACAGAGCAGCTCTGAAACCCTCTTTTTCTAGAATCTGCAAGTGGACATTTGGAGGGCTTTGAGGCCTGTGGTGGAAAAGGAATATCTTCCCATAAAAACTAGATGGAAGCATTCTCAGAAACTACTTTGTGATGATTGCATTCGACTCACAGAGTTGAACATTCCTATAGATAGAGCAGGTTGTAAACAATCTTTTTGTAGAATCTGCGATTGGAGATTTGGACTGCTTTGAGGCCTACTGTAGTAAAGGAAATAACTTCATCTAAAAACCAAACGGAAGCATTCACAGACAATTCTTACTGATCATTGCATTGAACTAACAGAGCTGAACATTCCTGTAGATGGCGCAGTTTCCAAACACACTTTCTGGAGAATCTGCAAGTGGATATTTGGACCTCTCTGAGGATTTCGTTGGAAACGGGATAAACTTCCCAGAACTACACGGAAGCATTCTGAGAAACTTCTTTGTGATGTTTGCATTCAACTCACAGAGTTGAACCTTGCTTTCATAGTCCAGCTTTCAAACACTCTTTTTGTAGAATCTGCAAGTGGATATTTGGACCACTTTGTGGCCTTCCTTCGAAACGGGTATATCTTCACATCAAACCTAGACAGAAGCATTCTCAGAATGTTTCCTGTGATGACTGCATTCAACTCACAGAGGTGAACAATCCTGCTGATGGAGCAGTTTTGAAACTCTCTTTCTTTGGATTCTGCAAGTGGATATGTGGACCTCTGTGAAGATTTCGTTGGAAACGGGTTCATCTTCACAGAAAAACTAAACAGAAGCATTCTCAGAAACTGCTTTGTGATGTTTGTGTTCCACTTCAAGAACTGAACTTTCCTCTTGACAGAGCAGCTCTGAAACCCTCTTTTTCTAGAATCTGCAAGTGGACATTTGGAGGGCTTTGAGGCCTGTGGTGGAAAAGGAAAATCTTCACATAAAAACTAGATGGAAGCATTCTCAGAAACTACTTTGTGATGATTGCATTCGACTCACAGAGTTGAACATTCCTATAGATAGAGCAGGTTGTAAACAATCTTTTTGTAGAATCTGCGATTGCAGATTTGGACTGCTTTGAGGCCTACTGTAGTAAAGGAAATAACTTCATCTAAAAACCAAACGGAAGCATTCACAGACAATTCTTAGTGATCATTGGATTGAACTAACAGAGCTGAACACTCCTTTAGATGGAGCAGTTTCCAAACACACTTTCTGTAGAATCTGCAAGTGGATATTTGGACTTCTCTGAGGATTTCGTTGGAAACGGGATAAACTTCCCAGAACTACACGGAAAGCATTCTGAGAAACTTCTTTGTGATGTTTGCATTCAACTCACAGAGTTGAACCTTGCTTTCATAGTTCAGCTTTCAAACACTCCTTTTGTAGAATCTGCAAGTGGATATTTGGGCCACTTTGTGGCCTTCCTTCGAAACGGGTATATCTTCACATCAAACCTAGACAGAAGCATTCTCAGAATGTTTCCTGTGATGACTGCATTCAACTCACAGAGGTGAACAATCCTGCTGATGGAGCAGTTTTGAAACTCTCTTTCTTTGGATTCTGCAAGTGGATATGTGGACCTCTGTGAAGATTTCGTTGGAAACGGGTTCATCTTCACAGAAAAACTAAACAGGAGCATTCTCAGAAACTGCTTTGTGATGTTTGTGTTCCACTTCAGGAATTGAACTTTCCTCTTGACAGAGCAGCTCTGAAACCCTCTTTTTCTAGAATCTGCAAGTGGACATTTGGAGGGCTTTGAGGCCTGTGGTGGAAAAGGAAAATCTTCACATAAAAACTAGATGGAAGCATTCTCAGAAACTACTTTGTGATGATTGCATTTGACTCACAGAGTTGAACATTCCTATAGATAGAGCAGGTTGTAAACAATCTTTTTGTAGAATCTGCGATTGGAGATTTGGTCTGCTTTGAGGCCTACTGTAGTAAAGGAAATAACTTCATCTAAAAACCAAACGGAAGCATTCACAGACAATTCTTAGTGATCATTGCATTGAACTAACAGAGCTGAACATTGCTTTAGATGGCGCAGTTTCCAAACACACTTTCTGTAGAATCTGCAAGTGGATATTTGGACCTCTCTGAGGATTTCGTTGGAAACGGGATAAACTTCCCAGAACTACACGGAAGCATTCTGAGAAACTTCTTTGTGATGTTTGCATTCAACTCACAGAGTTGAACCTTGCTTTCAAAGTTCAGCTTTCAAACACTCTTTTTGTAGAATCTGCAAGTGGATATTTGGACCACTTTGGGGCCTTCCTTCGAAACGGGTTCATCTTCACAGAAAAACTAAACAGGAGCATTCTCAGAATGTTTCCTGTGATGACTGCATTCAACTCACAGAGGTGAACAATCCTGCTGATGGAGCAGTTTTGAAACTCTCTTTCTTTGGATTCTGCAAGTGGATATGTGGACCTCTGTGAAGATTTCGTTGGAAACGGGTTCATCTTCACAGAAAAACTAAACAGGAGCATTCTCAGAAACTGCTTTGTGATGTTTGTGTTCCACTTCAATAATTGAACTTTCCTCTTGACAGAGCAGCTCTGAAACCCTCTTTTTCTAGAATCTGCAAGTGGACATTTAGAGGGCTTTGAGGCCTGTGGTGGAAAAGGATAATCTTCACATAAAAACTAGATGGAAGCATTCTCAGAAACTACTTTGTGATGATTGCATTCGACTCACAGAGTTGAACATTCCTATAGATAGAGCAGGTTGTAAACAATGTTTTTGTAGAATCTGCGATTGGAGATTTGGATTGCTTTGAGGCCTACTGTAGTAAAGGAAATAACTTCATCTAAAAACCAAACGGAAGCATTCACAGACAATTCTTAGTGATCATTGGATTGAACTAACAGAGCTGAACATTCCTTTAGATGGAGCAGTTTCCAAACACACTTTCTGTAGAATCTGCAAGTGGATATTTGGACTTCTCTGAGGATTTCGGTTGGAAACCGGATAAACTTCCCAGAACTACACGGAAGCATTCTGAGAAACTTCTTTGTGATGTTTGCATTCAACTCACAGAGTTGAACCTTGCTTTCATAGTTCAGCTTTCAAACACTCTTTTTGTAGAATCTGCAAGTGGATATTTGGACCACTTTGTGGCCTTCCTTCGAAACGGGTATATCTTCACATCAAACATAGACAGAAGCATTCTCAGAATGTTTCCTGTGATGACTGCATTCAACTCACAGAGGTGAACAATCCTGCTGATGGAGCAGTTTTGAAACTCTCTTTCTTTGGATTCTGCAAGTGGATATGTGGAACTCTGTGAAGATTTCGTTGGAAACGGGTTCATCTTCACAGAAAAACTAAACAGAAGCATTCTCAGAAACTGCTTTGTGATGTTTGTGTTCCACTTCAAGAATTGAACTTTCCTCTTGACAGAGCAGCTCTGAAACCCTCTTTTTCTAGAGTCTGCAAGTGGACATTTGGAGGGCTTTGAGGCCTGTGGTGGAAAAGGAAAATCTTCACATAAAAACTAGATGGAAGCATTCTCAGAAACTACTTTGTGATGATTGCATTCGACTCACAGAGTTGAACATTCCTATAGATAGAGCAGGTTGTAAACAATCTTTTTGTAGAATCTGCGATTGGAGATTTGGACTGCTTTGAGGCCTACTGTAGTAAAGGAAATAACTTCATCTAAAAACCAAACGGAAGCATTCACAGACAATTCTTAGTGATCATTGGATTGAACTAACAGAGCTGAACATTCCTTTAGATGGAGCAGTTTCCAAACACACTTTCTGTAGAATCTGCAAGTGGATATTTGGACTTCTCTGAGGATTTCGTTGGAAACGGGATAAACTTCCCAGAACTACACGGAAGCATTGTGAGAAACTTCTTTGTGATGTTTGCATTCAACTCACAGAGTTGAACCTTGCTTTCATAGTTCAGCTTTCAAACACTCTTTTTGTAGAATCTGCAAGTGGATATTTGGACCACTTTGTGGCCTTCCTTCGAAACGGGTATATCTTCACATCAAACCTAGACAGAAGCATTCTCAGAATGTTTCCTGTGATGACTGCATTCAACTCACAGAGGTGAACAATCCTGTTGATGGAGCAGTTTTGAAACTCTCTTTCTTTGGATTCTGCAAGTGGATATGTGGACCTCTGTGAAGATTTCGTTGGAAACGGGTTCATCTTCACAGAAAAACTAAACAGGAGCATTCTCAGAAACTGCTTTGTGATGTTTTTGTTCCACTTGAAGAATTGAACTTTCCTCTTGACAGAGCAGCTCTGAAACCCTCTTTTTCTAGAATCTGCAAGTGTACATTTGGAGGGCTTTGAGGCCTGTGGTGGAAAAGGAAAATCTTCACATAAAAACTAGATGGAAGCATTCTCAGAAACTCCTTTGTGATGATTGCATTCGACTCACAGAGTTGAACTTTCCTACAGATAGAGCAGGTTGTAAACAATCTTTTTGTAGAATCTGCGATTGGAGATTTGGACTGCTTTGAGGCCTACTGTAGTAAAGGAAATAACTTCATCTAAAAACCAAACGGAAGCATTCACAGACAATTCTTAGTGATCATTGCATTGAACTAACAGAGCTGAACATTCCTTTAGATGGAGCAGTTTCCAAACCCACTTTCTGTAGAATCTGCAAGTGGATATTTGGACTTCTCTGAGGATTTCGTTGGAAACGGGATATGCTTCCCAGAACTACAGGGAAGCATGCTGAGAAACTTCTTTGTGATGTTTGCATTCAACTCACAGAGTTGAACCTTGCTTTCATAGTTCAGCTTTCAAACACTCTTTTTGTAGAATCTGCAAGTGGATATTTGGACCACTTTGTGGCCTTCCTTCGAAACGGGTATATCTTCACATCAAACCTAGACAGAAGCATTCTCAGAATGTTTCCTGTGATGACTGCATTCAACTCACAGAGGTGAACAATCCTGCTGATGGAGCAGTTTTGAAACTCTCTTTCTTTGGATTCTGCAAGTGGATATGTGGACCTCTGTGAAGATTTCGTTGGAAACGGGTTCAACTTCACAGAAAAACTAAACAGAAGCATTCTCCGAAACTGCTTTGTGATGTTTGTGTTCCACTTCAAGAATTGAACTTTCCTCTTGACCGAGCAGCTCTGAAACCCTCTTATTCTAGAATCTGCAAGTGGACATTTGGAGGGCTTTGAGGCCTGTGGTGGAAAAGGAAAATCTTCACATAAAAACTAGATGGAAGCATTCTCAGAAACTACTTTGTGATGATTGCATTCGACTCACAGAGTTGAACATTCCTATAGATAGAGCAGGTTGTAAACAATCTTTTTGTAGAATCTGCGATTGGAGATTTGGACTGCTTTGAGGCCTACTGTAGTAAAGGAAATAACTTCATCTAAAAACCAAACGGAAGCATTCACAGACAATTCTTAGTGATCATTGGATTGAACTAACAGAGCTGAACATTCCCTTAGATGGCGCAGTTTCCAAACACACTTTCTGTAGAATCTGCAAGTGGATATTTGGACCTCTCTGAGGATTTCGTTGGAAACGGGATAAACTTCCCAGAACTACACGGAAGCATTCTGAGAAACTTCTTTGTGATGGTTGCATTCAACTCACAGGGTTGAACCTTGCTTTCATAGTTCAGCTTTCAAACACTCTTTTTGTAGAATCTGCAAGAGGATATTTCGAACACTTTGTGGCCTTCCTTCGAAACGGGTATATCTTCACATCAAACCTAGACAGAAGCATTCTCAGAATGTTTCCTGTGATGACTGCATTCAACTCACAGAGGTGAACAATCCTGCTGATGGAGCAGTTTTGAAACTCTCTTTCTTTGGATTCTGCAAGTGGATATGTGGACCTCTGTGAAGATTTCGTTGGAAACGGGTTCATCTTCACAGAAAAACTAAACAGGAGCATTCTCAGAAACTGCTTTGTGATGTTTGTGTTCCACTTCAGGAATTGAACTTTCCTCTTGACAGAGCAGCCATGAAACCCTCTTTTTCTAGAATCTGCAAGTGGACATTTGGAGGGCTTTGAGGCCTGTGGTGGAAAAGGAAAATCTTCACATAAAAACTAGATGGAAGCATTCTCAGGAACTACTTTGTGATGATTGCATTCGACTCACAGAGTTGAACATTCCTATAGATAGAGCAGGTTGTAAACAATCTTTTTGTAGAATCTGCGATTGGAGATTTGGACTGCTTTGAGGCCTACTGTAGTAAAGGAAATAAATTCATCTAAAAACCAAATGGGAAGCATTCACAGACAATTCTTAGTGATCATTGGATTGAACTAACAGAGCTGAACATTCCTTTAGATGGAGCATTTTCCAAACACACTTTCTGTAGAATCTGCAAGTGGATATTTGGACTTCTCTGAGGATTTCGTTGGAAACGGGATAAACTTCCCAGAACTACACGGAAGCATTCTGAGAAACTTCTTTGTGATGTTTGCATTCAACTCACAGAGTTGAACCTTGCTTTCATAGTTCAGCTTTCAAACCCTCTTTTTGTAGAATCTGCAAGTGGATATTTGGACCACTTTGTGGCTTTCCTTCGAAACGGGTATATCTTCACATCAAACCTAGACAGAAGCATTCTCAGAATGTTTCCTGTGATGACTGCATTCAACTCACAGAGGTGAACAATCCTGCTGATGGAGCAGTTTTGAAACTCTCTTTCTTTGGATTCTGCAAGTGGATATGTGGACCTCTGTGAAGATTTCGTTGGAAACGGGTTCATCTTCACAGAAAAACTAAACAGAAGCATTCTCAGAAACTGCTTTGTGATGTTTGTGTTCCACTTCAAGAATTGAACTTTCCTCTTGACAGAGCAGCTCTGAAACCCTCTTATTCTAGAATCTGCAAGTGGACATTTGGAGGGCTTTGAGGCCTGTGGTGGAAAAGGAAAATCTTCACATAAAAACTAGATGGAAGCATTCTCAGAAACTACTTTGTGATGATTGCATTCGACTCGCAGAGTTGAACATTCCTATAGATAGAGTAGGTTGTAAACAATCTTTTTGTAGAATCTGAGATTGGAGATTTGGACTGCTTTGAGGCCTACTGTAGTAAAGGAAATAACTTCATCTAAAAACAAAACGGAAGCATTCACAGACAATTCTTAGTGATCATTGGATTGAACTAACAGACCTGTACATTCCTTTAGATGGAGCAGTTTCCAAACACACTTTCTGTAGAATCTTCAAGTGGATATTTGGACTTCTCTGAGGATTTCGTTGGAAACGGGATAAACTTCCCAGAACTACACGGAAGCATTCTGAAAAACTTCTTTGTGATGTTTGCATTCAACTCACAGAGTTGAACCTTGCTTTCATAGTTCAGCTTTCAAACACTCTTTTTGTAGAATCTGCAAGTGGATATTTGGACCACTTTGTGGCCTTCCTTCGAAACGGGTATATCTTCACATCAAACCTAGACAGAAGCATTCTCAGAATGTTTCCTGTGATGACTGCATTCAACTCACAGAGGTGAACAATCCTGTTGATGGAGCAGTTTTGAAACTCTCTTTCTTTGGATTCTGCAAGTGGATATGTGGACCTCTGTGAAGATTTCGTTGGAAACGGGTTCATCTTCACAGAAAAACTAAACAGAAGCATTCTCAGAAACTGCTTTGTGATGTTTGTGTTCCACTTCAGGAATTGAACTTTCCTCTTGACAGAGCAGCTCTGAAACCCTCTTTTTCTAGAATCTGCAAGTGGACATTTGGAGGGCTTTGAGGCCTGTGGTGGAAAAGGAAAATCTTCACATAAAAACTAGATGGAAGCATTCTCAGAAACTACTTTGTGATGATTGCATTCGACTCACAGAGTTGAACATTCCTATAGATAGAGCAGGTTGTAAACAATCTTTTTGTAGAATCTGCGATTGGAGATTTGGACTGCTTTGAGGCCTACTGTAGTAAAGGAAATAACTTCATCTAAAAACCAAACGGAAGCATTCACAGACAATACTTAGTGATCATTGCATTGAACTAACAGAGCTGAACATTCCTGTAGATGGCGCAGTTTCCAAACACACTTTCTGTAGAATCTGCAAGTGGATATTTGGACCTCTCTGAGGATTTCGTTGGAAACGGGATAAACTTCCCAGAACTACACGGAAGCATTGTGAGAAACTTCTTTGTGATGTTTGCATTCAACTCACAGAGTTGAACCTTGCTTTCATAGTTCAGCTTTCAAACACTCTTTTTGTAGAATCTGCAAGTGGATATTTGGACCACTTTGTGGCCTTCCTTCGAAACGGGTATATCTTCACATCAAACCTAGACAGAAGCATTCTCAGAATGTTTCCTGTGATGACTGCATTCAACTCACAGAGGTGAACAATCCTGTTGATGGAGCAGTTTTGAAACTCTCTTTCTTTGGATTCTGCAAGTGGATATGTGGACCTCTATGAAGATTTCATTGGAAACGGGTTCATCTTCACAGAAAAACTAAACAGAAGCATTCTCAGAAACTGCTTTGTGATGTTTGTGTTCCACTTCAAGAATTGAACTTTCCTCTTGACAGAGCAGCTCTGAAACCCTCTTTTTCTAGAATCTGCAAGTGGACATTTGGAGGGCTTTGAGGCCTGTGGTGGAAAAGGAAAATCTTCCCATAAAAACTAGATGGAAGCATTCTCAGAAACTACTTTGTGATGATTGCATTCGACTCACAGAGTTGAACATTCCTATAGATAGAGCAGGTTGTAAACAATCTTTTTGTAGAATCTGCGATTGGAGATTTGGACTGCTTTGAGGCCTACTGTAGTAAAGGAAATAACTTCATCTAAAAACCAAACGGAAGCATTCACAGACAATTCTTAGTGATCATGGCATTGAACTAACAGAGCTGAACATTCCTTTAGATGGAGCAGTTTCCAAACACACTTTCTGTAGAATCTGCAAGTGGATATTTGGACCTCTCTGAGGATTTCGTTGGAAACGGGATAAACTTCCCAGAACTACACGGAAGCATTCTTAGAAACTTCTTTGTGATGTTTGCATTCAACTCACAGAGTTGAACCTTGCTTTCATAGTTCAGCTTTCAAACACTCTTTTTGTAGAATCTGCAAGTGGATATTTGGACCACTTTGTGGCCTTCCTTAGAAACGGGTATATCTTCACATCAAACCTAGACAGAAGCATTCTCAGAATGTTTCCTGTGATGACTGCATTCAACTCACAGAGGTGAACAATCCTGCTGATGGAGCAGTTTTGAAACTCTCTTTCTTTGGATTCTGCAAGTGGATATGTGGACCTCTGTGAAGATTTCGTTGGAAACGGGTTCATCTTCACAGAAAAACTAAACAGAAGCATTCTCAGAAACTGCTTTGTGATGTTTGTGTTCCACTTCAGGAATTGAACTTTCCTCTTGACAGAGCAGCTCTGAAACCCTCTTATTCTAGAATCTGCAAGTGGACATTTGGAGGGCTTTGAGGCCTGTGGTGGAAAAGGAAAATCTTCACATAAAAACTAGATGGAAGCATTCTCAGAAACTACTTTGTGATGATTGCATTCGACTCACAGAGTTGAACATTCCTATAGATAGAGCAGGTTGTAAACAATCTTTTTGTAGAATCTGCGATTGGAGATTTGGACTGCTTTGAGGCCTACTGTAGTAAAGGAAATAACTTCATCTAAAAACCAAACGGAAGCATTCACAGACAATTCTTAGTGATCATTGGATTGAACTAACAGAGCTGAACATTCCTTTAGATGGAGCAGTTTCCAAACCCACTTTCTGTAGAATCTGCAAGTGGATATTTGGACTTCTCTGAGGATTTCGTTGGAAACGGGATAAACGTCCCAGAACTACACGGAAGCATGCTGAGAAACTTCTTTGTGATGTTTGCATTCAACTCACAGAGTTGAACCTTGCTTTCATAGTTCAGCTTTCAAACACTCTTTTTGTAGAATCTGCAAGTGGATATTTGGACCACTTTGTGGCCTTCCTTCGAAACGGGTATATCTTCACATCAAACCTAGACAGAAGCATTCTCAGAATGTTTCCTGTGATGACTGCATTCAACTCACAGAGGTGAACAATCCTGTTGATGGAGCAGTTTTGAAACTCTCTTTCTTTGGATTCTGCAAGTTGATATGTGGACCTCTGTGAAGATTTCGTTGGAAACGGGTTCATCTTCACAGAAAAACTAAACAGAAGCATTCTCAGAAACTGCTTTGTGATGTTTGTGTTCCACTTCAGGAATTGAACTTTCCTCTTGACAGAGCAGCTCTGAAACCCTCTTTTTCTAGAATCTGCAAGTGGACATTTGGAGGGCTTTGAGGCCTGTGGTGGAAAAGGAAAATCTTCACATAAAAACTAGATGGAAGCATTCTCAGAAACTACTTTGTGATGATTGCATTCGACTCACAGAGTTGAACATTCCTATAGATAGAGCAGGTTGTAAACAATCTTTTTGTAGAATCTGCGATTGGAGATTTGGACTGCTTTGAGGCCTACTGTAGTAAAGGAAATAACTTCATCTAAAAACCAAACGGAAGCATTCACAGACAATTCTTAGTGATCATTGGATTGAACTAACAGAGCTGAACATTCCTTTAGATGGAGCAGTTTCCAAACCCACTTTCTGTAGAATCTGCAAGTGGATATTTGGACTTCTCTGAGGATTTCGTTGGAAACGGGATAAACTTCCCAGAACTACACGGAGCATTCTGAGAAACTTCTTTGTGATGTTTGCATTCAACTCACAGAGTTGAACCTTGCTTTCATAGTTCAGCTTTCAAACACTCTTTTTGTAGAATCTGCAAGTGGATATTTGGACCACTTTGTGGCCTTCCTTCGAAACGGGTATATCTTCACATCAAACCTAGACAGAAGCATTCTCAGAATGTTTCCTGTGATGACTGCATTCAACTCACAGATGTGAACAATCCTGCTGATGGAGCAGTTTTGAAACTCTCTTTCTTTGGATTCTGCAAGTGGATATGTGGACCTCTGTGAAGATTTCGTTGGAAACGGGTTCATCTTCACAGAAAAACTAAACAGGAGCATTCTCAGAAACTACTTTGTGATGTTTGTGTTCCACTTCAAGAATTGAACTTTCCTCTTGACAGAGCAGCTCTGAAACCCTCTTTTTCTAGAATCTGCAAGTGGACATTTGGAGGGCTTTGAGGCCTGTGGTGGAAAAGGAAAATCTTCACATAAAAACTAGATGGAAGCATTCTCAGAAACTACTTTTTGATGATTGCATTCGACTCACAGAGTTGAACATTCCTATAGATAGAGCAGGTTGTAAACAATCTTTTTGTAGAATCTGCGATTGGAGATTTGGACTGCTTTGAGGCCTACTGTAGTAAAGGAAATAACTTCATCTAAAAACCAAACGGAAGCATTCACAGACAATTCTTAGTGATCATTGCATTGAACTAACAGAGCTGAACATTCCTTTAGATGGCGCAGTTTCCAAACACACTTTCTGTAGAATCTGAAAGTGGATATTTGGACCTCTCTGAGGATTTCGTTGGAAACGGGATAAACTTCCCAGAACTACACGGAAGCATTGTGAGAAACTTCTTTGTGATGTTTGCATTCAACTCACAGAGTTGAACCTTGCTTTCATAGTTCAGCTTTCAAACACTCTTTTTGTAGAATCTGCAAGTGGATATTTGGACCACTTTGTGGCCTTCCTTCGAAACGGGTATATCTTCACATCAAACCTAGACAGAAACATTCTCAGAATGTTTCCTGTGATGACTGCATTCAACTCACAGAGGTGAACAATCCTGTTGATGGAGCAGTTTTGAAACTCTCTTTCTTTGGATTCTGCAATTGGATATGTGGACCTCTGTGAAGGTTTCGTTGGAAACGGGTTCATCTTCACAGAAAAACTAAACAGGAGCATTCTCCGAAACTGCTTTGTGATGTTTGTGTTCCACTTCAAGAATTGAACTTTCCTCTTCACAGAGCAGCTCTGAAACCCTCTTTTTCTAGAATCTGCAAGTGGACATTTGGAGGGCTTTGAGGTCTGTGGTGGAAAAGGAAAATCTTCACATAAAAACTAGATGGAAGCATTCTCAGAAACTACTTTGTGATGATTGCATTCGACTCACAGAGTTGAACATTCCTATAGATAGAGCAGGTTGTAAACAATCTTTTTGTAGAATCTGCGATTGGAGATTTGGACTGCTTTGAGGCCTACTGTAGTAAAGGAAATAACTTCATCTAAAAACCAAACGGAAGCATTCACAGACAATTCTTAGTGATCATTGGATTGAACTAACAGAGCTGAACATTCCTTTAGATGGAGCAGTTTCCAAACACACTTTCTGTAGAATCTGCAAGTGGATATTTGGACTTCTCTGAGGATTTCGTTGGAAACGGGATAAACTTCCCAGAACTACACGGAAGCATTCTGAGAAACTTCTTTGTGATGTTTGCATTCAACTCACAGAGTTGAACCTTGCTTTCATAGTTCAGCTTTCAAACACTCTTTTTGTAGAATCTACAGAAAGTGGATATTTGGACCACTTTGTGGCCTTCCTTCGAAACGGGTATATCTTCACATCAAACCTAGACAGAAGCATTCTCAGAATGTTTCCTGTGATGACTGCATTCAACTCACAGAGGTGAACAATCCTGCTGATGGAGCAGTTTTGAAACTCTCTTTCTTTGGATTCTGCAAGTGGATATGTGGACCTCTGTGAAGATTTCGTTGGAAACGGGTTCATCTTCACAGAAAAACTAAACAGGAGCATTCTCAGAAACTGCTTTGTGATGTTTGTGTTCCACTTCAGGAATTGAACTTTCCTCTTGACAGAGCAGCTCTAAAACCCTCTTATTCTAGAATCTGCAAGTGGACATTTGGAGGGCTTTGAGGCCTGTGGTGGAAAAGGAAAATCTTCACATAAAAACTAGATGGAAGCATTCTCAGAAACTACTTTGTGATGATTGCATTCGACTCACAGAGTTGAACATTCCTATAGATAGAGCAGGTTGTAAACAATCTTTTTGTAGAATCTGCGATTGGAGATTTGGACTGCTTTGAGGCCTACTGTAGTAAAGGAAATAACTTCATCTAAAAACCAAACGGAAGCATTCACAGACAATTCTTAGTGATCATTGGATTGAACTAACAGAGCTGAACATTCCTTTAGATGGAGCAGTTTCCAAACACACTTTCTGTAGAATCTGCAAGTGGATATTTGGACTTCTCTGAGGATTTCGTTGGAAACGGGATAAACTTCCCAGAACTACACGGAAGCATTGTGAGAAACTTCTTTGTGATGTTTGCATTCAACTCACAGAGTTGAACCTTGCTTTCATAGTTCAGCTTTCAAACACTCTTTTTGTAGAATCTGCAATTGGATATTTGGACCACTTTGTGGCCTTCCTTCGAAACGGGTATATCTTCACATCAAACCTAGACAGAAGCATTCTCAGAATGTTTCCTGTGATGACTGCATTCAACTCACAGAGGTGAACAATCCTGTTGATGGAGCAGTTTTGAAACTCTCTTTCTTTGGATTCTGCAAGTGGATATGTGGACTTCTGTGAAGATTTCGTTGGAAACGGGTTCATCTTCACAGAAAAACTAAACAGAAACATTCTCAGAAACTGCTTTGTGATGTTTGTGTTCCACTTCAAGAATTGAACTTTCCTCTTGACAGAGCAGCTCTGAAACCCTCTTTTTCTAGAATCTGCAAGTGGACATTTGGAGGGCTTTGAGGCCTGTGGTGGAAAAGGAAAATCTTCACATAAAAACTAGATGGAAGCATTCTCAGAAACTACTTTGTGATGATTGCATTCGACTCACAGAGTTGAACATTCCTATAGATAGAGCAGGTTGTAAACAATCTTTTTGTAGAATCTGCGATTGGAGATTTGGACTGCTTTGAGGCCTACTGTAGTAAAGGAAATAACTTCATCTAAAAACCAAACGGAAGCATTCACAGACAATTCTTAGTGATCATTGCATTGAACTAACAGAGCTGAACATTCCTTTAGATGGCGCAGTTTCCAAACACACTTTCTGTAGAATCTGCAAGTGGATATTTGGACTTCTCTGAGGATTTCGTTGGAAACGGGATAAACTTCCCAGAACTACACGGAAGCATTCTGAGAAACTTCTTTGTGATGTTTGCATTCAACTCACAGAGTTGAACCTTGCTTTCATAGTTCAGCTTTCAAACACTCTTTTTGTAGAATCTGCAAGTGGATATTTGGACCACTTTGTGGCCTTCCTTCGAAACGGGTATATCTTCACATCAAACCTAGACAGAAGCATTCTCAGAATGTTTCCTGTGATGACTGCATTCAACTCACAGAGGTGAACAATCCTGCTGACGGAGCAGTTTTGAAACTCTCTTTCTTTGGATTCTGCAAGTGGATATGTGGACCTCTGTGAAGATTTCGTTGGAAACGGGTTCATCTTCAGAGAAAAACTAAACAGAAGCATTCTCAGAAACTGCTTTGTGATGTTTGTGTTCCACTTCAGGAATTGAACTTTCCTCTTGACAGAGCAGCTCTGAAACCCTCTTATTCTACAATCTGCAAGTGGACATTTGGAGGGCTTTGAGGCCTGTGGTGGAAAAGGAAAATCTTCACATAAAAACTAGATGGAAGCATTCTCAGAAACTACTTTGTGATGATTGCATTCGACTCACAGAGTTGAACATTCCTATAGATAGAGCAGGTTGAAAACAATCTTTTTGTAGAATCTGCGATTGGAGATTTGGACTGCTTTGAGGCCTACTGTAGTAAAGGAAATAACTTCATCTAAAAACCAAACGGAAGCATTCACAGACAATTCTTAGTGATCATTGCATTGATCTAACAGAGCTGAACATTCCTTTAGATGGCGTAGTTTCCAAACACACTTTCTGTAGAATCTGCAAGTGGATATTTGGACCTCTCTGAGGATTTCGTTGGAAACGGGATTAACTTCCCAGAACTACACGGAAGCATTCTGAGAAACTTCTTTGTGATGTTTGCATTCAACTCACAGAGTTGAACCTTGCTTTCATAGTTCAGCTTTCAAACACTCTTTTTGTAGAATCTGCAAGTGGATATTTGGACCACTTTGTGGCCTTCCTTCGAAACGGGTATATCTTCACATCAAACCTAGACAGAAGCATTTTCAGAATGTTTCCTGTGATGACTGCATTCAACTCACAGAGGTGAACAATCCTGCTGATGGAGCAGTTTTGAAACTCTCTTTCTTTGGATTCTGCAAGTGGATATGTGGACCTCTGTGAAGATTTCGTTGGAAACGGGTTCATCTTCACAGAAAAACTAAACAGGAGCATTCTCAGAAACTGCTTTGTGATGTTTGTGTTCCACTTCAAGAATTGAACTTTCCTCTTGACAGAGCAGCTCTGAAACCCTCTTTTTCTAGAATCTGCAAGTGGACATTTGGAGGGCTTTGAGGCCTGTGGTGGAAAAGGAAAATCTTCACATAAAAACTAGATGGAAGCATTCTCAGAAACTACTTTGTGATGATTGCATTCGACTCACAGAGTTGAACATTGCTATAGATAGAGCAGGTTGAAAACAATCTTTTTGTAGAATCTGCGATTGGAGATTTGGACTGCTTTGAGGCCTACTGTAGTAAAGGAAATAACTTCATCTAAAAACCAAACGGAAGCATTCACACAAAATTCTTAGTGATCATTGGATTGAACTAACAGAGCTGAAAATTCCTTTAGATGGAGCAGTTTCCAAACCCACTTTCTGTAGAATCTGCAAGTGGATATTTGGACTTCTCTGAGGATTTCGTTGTAAAAGGGATATGCCTCCCAGAAATACAGGGAAGCATTGTGAGAAACTTCTTTGTGATGTTTGCATTCAACTCACAGAGTTGAACCTTGCTTTCATAGTTCAGCTTTCAAACACTCTTTTTGTAGAATCTGCAAGTGGATATTTGGACCACTTTGTGGCCTTCCTTCGAAACGGGTATATCTTCACATCAAACCTAGACAGAAGCATTCTCAGAATGTTTCCTGTGATGACTGCATTCAACTCACAGAGGTG
Source organism: Homo sapiens (assembly GCF_000001405.40). Classification (NCBI taxonomy): domain Eukaryota; kingdom Metazoa; phylum Chordata; class Mammalia; order Primates; family Hominidae; genus Homo; species Homo sapiens. The sequence continues at coordinate 53,876,696 of NC_000011.10, forward strand.
AACAATCCTGCTGATGGAGCAGTTTTGAAACTCTCTTTCTTTGGATTCTGCAAGTGGATATGTGGACCTCTGTGAAGATTTCGTTGGAAACGGGTTCATCTTCACAGAAAAACTAAACAGAAGCATTCTCAGAAACTGCTTTGTGATGTTTGTGTTCCACTTCAAGAATTGAACTTTCCTCTTGACAGAGCAGCTCTGAAACCCTCTTTTTCTAGAATCTGCAAGTGGACATTTGGAGGGCTTTGAGGCCTGTGGTGGAAAAGGAAAATCTTCCCATAAAAACTAGATGGAAGCATTCTCAGAAACTACTTTGTGATGATTGCATTCGAATCACAGAGTTGAACATTCCTATAGATAGAGCAGGTTGTAAACAATCTTTTTGTAGAATCTGCGATTGGAGATTTGGACTGCTTTGAGGCCTACTGCAGTAAAGGAAATAACTTCATCTAAAAACCAAACGGAAGCATTCACAGACAATTCTTAGTGATCATTGGATTGAACTAACAGAGCTGAACATTCCTTTAGATGGAGCAGTTTCCAAACACACTTTCTGTAGAATCTGCAAGTGGATATTTGGACCTCTCTGAGGATTTCGTTGGAAACGGGATAAACTTCCCAGAACTACACGGAAGCATTGTGAGAAACTTCTTTGTGATGTTTGCATTCAACTCACAGAGTTGAACCTTGCTTTCATAGTTCAGCTTTCAAACACTCTTTTTGTAGAATCTGCAAGTGGATATTTGGACCACTTTGTGGCCTTCCTTCGAAACGGGTATATCTTCACATCAAACCTAGACAGAAGCATTCTCAGAATGTTTCCTGTGATGACTGCATTCAACTCACAGAGGTGAACAATCCTGCTGATGGAGCAGTTTTGAAACTCTCTTTCTTTGGATTCTGCAAGTGGATATGTGGACCTCTGTGAAGATTTCGTTGGAAACGGGTTCATCTTCACAGAAAAACTAAACAGGAGCATTCTCAGAAACTGCTTTGTGATGTTTGTGTTCCACTTCAGGAATTGAACTTTCCTCTTGACAGAGCAGCTCTAAAACCCTCTTATTCTAGAATCTGCAAGTGGACATTTGGAGGGCTTTGAGGCCTGTGGTGGAAAAGGAAAATCTTCACATAAAAACTAGATGGAAGCATTCTCACAAACTCCTTTGTGATGATTGCATTCGACTCACAGAGTTGAACATTCGTATAGATAGAGTAGGTTGTAAACATTCTTTTTGTAGAATCTGTGATTGGAGATTTCGACTGCTTTGAGGCCTACTGTAGTAAAGGAAATAACTTCATCTAAAAACCAAACGGAAGCATTCACAGTACAATTCTTAGTGATTATTGGATTGAACTAACAGAGCTGAACATTCCTTTAGATGGCACAGTTTCCAAACACACTTTCTGTAGAATCTGCAAGTGGATATTTGGACCTCTCTGAGGATTTCGTTGGAAACGGGATAAACTTCCCAGAACTACACGGAAGCATTGTGAGAAACTTCTTTGTGATGTTTGCATTCAACTCACAGAGTTGAACCTTGCTTTCATAGTTCAGCTTTCAAACACTCTTTTTGTAGAATCTGCAAGTGGATATTTGGACCACTTTGTGGCCTTCCTTCGAAACGGGTATATCTTCACATCAAACCTAGACAGAAGCATTCTCAGAATGTTTCCTGTGATGACTGCATTCAACTCACAGAGGTGAACAATCCTGTTGATGGAGCACTTTTGAAACTCTCTTTCTTTGGATTCTGCAAGTTGATATGTGGACCTCTGTGAAGATTTCGTTGGAAACGGGTTCATCTTCACAGAAAAACTAAAAAGAAGCATTCTCAGAAACTACTTTGTGATGTTTGTGTTCCACTTCAAGAATTGAACTTTCCTCTTGACAGAGCAGCTCTGAAACCCTCTTTTTCTAGAATCTGCAAGTGGACATTTGGAGGGCTTTGAGGCCTGTGGTGGAAAAGGAAAATCTTCACATAAAAACTAGATGGAAGCATTCTCAGAAACTACTTTGTGATGATTGCATTCGACTCACAGAGTTGAACATTCCTATACATAGAGCAGGTTGTAAACAATCTTTTTGTAGAATCTGCGATTGGAGATTTGGACTGCTTTGAGGCCTACTGTAGTAAAGGAAATAACTTCATCTAAAAACCAAACGGAAGCATTCACAGACAATTCTTAGTGATCATTGCATTGAACTAACAGAGCTGAACATTCCTTTAGATGGCGCAGTTTCCAAACACACTTTCTGTAGAATCTGCAAGTGGATATTTGGACTTCTCTGAGGATTTCGTTGGAAACGGGATAAACTTCCCAGAACTACACGGAAGCATTCTGAGAAACTTCTTTGTGATGTTTGCATTCAACTCACAGGGTTGAACCTTGCTTTCATAGTTCAGCTTTCAAACACTCTTTTTGTAGAATCTGCAAGTGGATATTTGGACCACTTTGTGGCCTTCCTTCGAAACGGGTATATCTTCACATCAAACCTAGACAGAAGCATTCTCAGAATGTTTCCTGTGATGACTGCATTCAACTCACAGAGGTGAACAATCCTGCTGATGGAGCAGTTTTGAAACTCTCTTTCTTTGGATTCTGCAAGTGGATATGTGGACCTCTGTGAAGATTTCGTTGGAAACGGGTTCATCTTCACAGAAAAACTAAACAGAAGCATTCTCAGAAACTGCTTTGTGATATTTGTGTTCCACTTCAAGAATTGAACTTTCCTCTTGACAGAGCAGCTCTGAAACCCTCTTCTTCTAGAATCTGCAAGTGGACATTTGGAGGGCTTTGAGGCCTGTGGTGGAAAAGGAAAATCTTCACATAAAAACTAGATGGAAGCATTCTCAGAAACTACTTTGTGATGATGGCTTTCGACTCACAGAGTTGAACATTCCTATAGATAGAGCAGGTTGTAAACAATCTTTTTGTAGAATCTGCGATTGGAGATTTGGACTGCTTTGAGGCCTACTGTAGTAAAGGAAATAACTTCATCTAAAAACCAAACGGAAGCATTCACAGATAATTCTAAGTGATATTGGATTGAATTAACAGAGCTGAACATTCCTTTAGATGGAGCAGTTTCCAAACACACTTTCTGTAGAATCTGCAAGTGGATATTTGGACTTCTCGGAGGATTTCGTTGGAAACGGGATAAACTTATCAGAACTACACGGAAGCATTCTGAGAAACATCTTTGTGATGTTTGCATTCAACTCACAGAGTTGAAACTTGCTTTCATAGTTCAGCTTTCAAACACTCTTTTTGTAGAATCTGCAAGTGGATATTTGGACCACTTTGTGGCTTTCCTTCGAAACGGGTATATCTTCACATCAAACCTAGACAGAAGCATTCTCAGAATGTTTCCTGTGATGACTGCATTCAACTCACAGAGGTGAACAATCCTGCTGATGGAGCAGTTTTGAAACTCTCTTTCTTTGGATTCTGCAAGTGGATATGTGGACCTCTGTGAAGATTTCGTTGGAAACGGGTTCATCTTCACAGAAAAACTAAACAGGAGCATTCTCAGAAACTGCTTTGTGATGTTTGTGTTCCACTTCAGGAATTGAACTTTCCTCTTGACAGAGCAGCTCTGAAACCCTCTTATTCTAGAATCTGCAAGTGGACATTTGGAGGGCTTTGAGGCCTGTGGTGGAAAAGGAAATTCTTCACATAAAAACTAGATGGAAGCATTCTCAGAAACTACTTTGTGATGATTGCATTCGACTCACAGAGTTGAACATTCCTATAGATAGAGCAGGTTGTAAACAATCTTTTTGTAGAATCTGCGATTGGAGATTTGGACTGCTTTGAGGCCTACTGTAGTAAAGGAAATAACTTCATCTAAAAACCAAACGGAAGCATTCAAAGACAATTCTTAGTGATCATTGGATTGAACTAACAGAGCTGAACATTCCTTTAGATGGCGCAGTTTCCAAACACACTTTCTGTAGAATCTGCAAGTGGATATTTGGACCTCTCTGAGGATTTCGTTGGAAACGGGATAAACTTCCCAGAACTACACGGAAGCATTCTGAGAAACTTCTTTGTGATGTTTGCATTCAACTCACAGAGTTGAACCTTGCTTTCATAATTCAGCTTTCAAACACTCTTTTTGTAGAATCTGCAAGTGGATATTTGGACCACTTTGGGGCCTTCCTTCGAAAGGGGTATATCTTCACATCAAACCTAGACAGAAACATTCTCAGAATGTTTCCTGTGATGACTGCATTCAAATCACAGAGGTGAACAATCCTGTTGATGGAGCAGTTTTGAAACTCTCTTTCTTTGGATTCTGCAAGTGGATATGTGGACCTCTGTGAAGGTTTCGTTGGAAACGGGTTCATCTTCACAGAAAAACTAAACAGGAGCATTCTCAGAAACTGCTTTGTGATGTTTGTGTTCCACTTCAGGAATTGAACTTTCCTCTTGACAGAGCAGCTCTGAAACCCTCTTATTCTAGAATCTGCAAGTGGACATTTGGAGGGCTTTGAGGCCTGTGGTGGAAAAGGAAAATCTTCACATAAAAACTAGATGGAAGCATTCTCAGAAACTACTTTGTGATGATTGCATTCGACTCACAGAGTTGAACATTCCTATAGATAGAGCAGGTTGTAAACAATCTTTTTGTAGAATCTGCGATTGGAGATTTGGACTGCTTTGAGGCCTACTGTAGTAAAGGAAATAACTTCATCTAAAAACCAAACGGAAGCATTCACAGACAATTCTTAGTGATCATTGCATTGAACTAACAGAGCTGAACATTCCTTTAGATGGCGCAGTTTCCAAACACACTTTCTGTAGAAACTGAACGTGGATACTTGGACCTCTCTGAGGATTTCGTTGGAAACGGGATAAACTTCCCAGAACTACACGGAAGCATTGTGAGAAACTTCTTTGTGATGTTTGCATTCAACTCACAGAGTTGAACCTTGCTTTCATAGTTCAGCTTTCAAACACTCTTTTTGTAGAATCTGCAAGTGGATATTTGGACCACTTTGTGGCCTTCCTTCGAAACGGGTATATCTTCACATCAAACCTAGACAGAAGCATTCTCAGAATGTTTCCTGTGATGACTGCATTCAACTCACAGAGGTGAACAATCCTGCTGATGGAGCAGTTTTGAAACTCTCTTTCTTTGGATTGTGCAAGTGGATATGTGGACCTCTGTGTAGATTTCGTTGGAAACGGGTTCATCTTCACAGAAAAACTAAACAGGAGCATTCTCAGAAACTGCTTTGTGATGTTTGTGTTCCACTTCAAGAATTGAACTTTCCTCTTGACAGAGCAGCTCTGAAACCCTCTTTTTCTAGAATCTGCAAGTGGACATTTGGAGGGCTTTGAGGCCTGTGGTGGAAAAGGAAAATCTTCCCATAAAAACTAGATGGAAGCATTCTCAGAAACTACTTTGTGATGATTGCATTCGACTCACAGAGTTGAACATTCCTATAGATAGAGCAGGTTGTAAACAATCTTTTTGTAGAATCTGCGATTGGAGATTTGGACTGCTTTGAGGCCTACTGTAGTAAAGGAAATAACTTCATCTAAAAACCAAACGGAAGCATTCACAGACAATGTTTAGTGATCATTGGATTCAACTAACAGAGCTGAACATTCCTTTAGATGGAGCAGTTTCCAAACCCACTTTCTGTAGAATCTGCAAGTGGATATTTGGACCTGCTCTGAGGATTTCGTTGGAAACGGGTTATATTTCCCAGAACTACACCGAAGCATTGTGAGAAACTTCTTTGTGATGTTTGCATTCAACTCACAGAGTTGAACCTTGCTTTCATAGTTCAGCTTTCAAACACTCTTTTTGTAGAATCTGCAAGTGGATATTTGGACCACTTTGTGGCCTTCCTTCGAAACGGGTATATCTTCACATCAAACCTAGACAGAAGCATTCTCAGAATGTTTCCTGTGATGACTGCATTCAACTCACAGAGGTGAACAATCCTGCTGATGGAGCAGTTTTGAAACTCTCTTTCTTTGGATTCTGCAAGTGGATATGTGGACCTCTGTGAAGATTTCGTTGGAAACGGGTTCATCTTCACAGAAAAACTAAACAGAAGCATTCTCAGAAACTGCTTTGTGATGTTTGTGTTCCACTTCAGGAATTGAACTTTCCTCTTGACAGAGCAGCTCTGAAACCCTCTTATTCTAGAATATGCAAGTGGATATTTGGAGGGCTTTGAGGCCTGTGGTGGAAAAGGAAAATCTTCACATAAAAACTAGACGGAAGTATTCTCAGAAACTACTTTGTGATGATTGCATTCGACTCACAGAGGTGAACATTCCTATACATAGAGCAGGTTGTAAACCATCTTTTTGTAGAATCTGCGATTGGAGATTTGGACTGCTTTGAGGCCTACTGTAGTAAAGGAAATAACTTCATCTAAAAACCAAACGGAAGCATTCACAGACAATTCTTAGTGATCATTGGATTGAACTAACAGAGCTGAACATTCCTTTAGATGGCGCAGTTTCCAAACACACTTTCTGTAGAATCTGCAAGTGGATATTTGGACCTCTCTGAGGATTTCATTGGAAACGGGATAAACTTCCCAGAACTACACGGAAGCATTCTGAGAAACTTCTTTGTGATGTTTGCATTCAACTCACAGAGTTGAACCTTGCTTTCATAGTTCACCTTTCAAACACTCTTTTTGTAGAATCTGCAAGTGGATATTTGGACCACTTTGTGGCCTTCCTTCGAAACGGGTATATCTTCACATCAAACCTAGACAGAAGCATTCTCAGAATGTTTCCTGTGATGACTGCATTCAACTCACAGAGGTAAACAATCCTGCTGATGGAGCAGTTTTGAAACTCTCTTTCTTTGGATTCTGCAAGTGGATATGTGGACCTCTGTGAAGATTTCGTTGGAAACGGGTTCATCTTCACAGAAAAACTAAACAGGAGCATTCTCAGAAACTGCTTTGTGATGTTCGTGTTGCACTTCAAGAATTGAACTTTCCTCTTGACAGAGCAGCTCTGAAACCCTCTTTTTCTAGAATCTGCAAGTGGACATTGGGATTGCTTTGAGGCATGTGGTGGAAAAGGAAAATCTTCACATAAAAACTAGATGGAAGCACTCTCAGAAACTACTTTGTGATGATTGCATTCGACTCACAGAGTTGAACATTCCTATAGATAGAGCAGGTTGTAAACAATCTTTTTGTAGAATCTGCGATTGGAGATTTGGACTGCTTTGAGGCCTACTGTAGTAAAGGAAATAACTTCATCTAAAAACCAAACGGAAGCATTCACAGACAATTCCTAGTGATCATTGGATTGAACTAACAGAGCTGAACATTCCTTTAGATGGAGCAGTTTCCAAACACACTTTCTGTAGAATCTGCAAGTGGATATTTGGACTTCTCTGAGGATTTCGTTGGAAACGGGATAAACTTCCCAGAACTACACGGAAGCATTCTGAGAAACTTCTTTGTGATGTTTGCATTCAACTCACAGAGTTGAACCTTGCTTTCTTAGTTCAGCTTTCAAACACTCTTTTTGTATAATCTGCAAGTGGATATTTGGACCACTTTGTGGCCTTCCTTCGAAACGGGTATATCTTCACATCAAACCTAAACCGAAGCATTCTCAGAATGTTTCCTGTGATGACTGCATTCAACACACAGAGGTGAACAATCCTGCTGATGGAGCAGTTTTGAAACTCTCTTTCTTTGGATTCTGCAAGTGGATATGTGGACCTCTGTGAAGATTTCGTTGGAAACGGGTTCATCTTCACAGAAAAACTAAACAGAAGCATTCTCAGAAACTGCTTTGTGATGTTTGTGTTCCACTTCAGGAACTGAACTTTTCTCTTGACAGAGCAGCTCTGAAACCCTCTTATTCTAGAATCTGCAAGTGGACATTTGGAGGGCTTTGAGGCCTGTGGTGGAAAAGGAAAATCTTCACATAAAAACTAGATGGAAGCATTCTCAGAAACTACTTTGTGATGATTGCATTCGACTCACAGAGTTGAACATTCCTATAGATAGATCAGGTTGTAAACAATCTTTTTGTAGAATCTGCGATTGGAGATTTGGACTGCTTTGAGGCCTACTGTAGTAAAGGAAATAACTTCATCTAAAAACCAAACGGAAGCATTCACAGACAATTCTTAGTGATCATTGCATTGAACTAACAGAGCTGAACATTCCTTTAGATGGCGCAGTTTCCAAACACACTTTCTGTAGAATCTGCAAGTGGATATTTGGACCTCTCTGAGGATTTCGTTGGAAACGGGATAAACTTCCCAGAACTACACGGAAGCATTCTGAGAAACTTCTTTGTGATGGTTGCATTCAACTCACAGGGTTGAACCTTGCTTTCATAGTTCAGCTTTCAAACACTCTTTTTGTAGAATCTGCAAGTGGATATTTGGACCACTTTGTGGCCTTCCTTCGAAACGGGTATATCTTCACATCAAACCTAGACAGAAGCATTCTCAGAATGTTTCCTGTGATGACTGCATTCAACTCACAGAGGTGAACAATCCTGTTGATGGAGCAGTTTTGAAACTCTCTTTCTTTGGATTCTGCAAGTTGATATGTGGACCTCTGTGAAGATTTCGTTGGAAACGGGTTCATCTTCACAGAAAAACTAAACAGAAACATTCTCAGAAACTGCTTTGTGAAGTTTGTGTTCCACTTCAGGAATTGAACTTTCCTCTTGACAGAGCAGCTCTGAAACCCTCTTATTCTAGAATCTGCAAGTGGACATTTGGAGGGCTTTGAGGCCTGTGGTGGAAAAGGAAAATCTTCACATAAAAACTAGATGGAAGCATTCTCAGAAACTACTTTGTGATGATTGCATTCGACTCACAGAGTTGAACATTCCTATAGATAGAGCAGGTTGTAAACAATCTTTTTGAAGAATCTGCGATTGGAGATTTGGACTGCTTTGAGGCCTACTGCAGTAAAGGAAATAACTTCATCTAAAAACCAAACGGAAGCATTCACAGACAATTCTTAGTGATCATTGGATTGAACTAACAGAGCTGAACATTCCTTTAGATGGAGCAGTTTCCAAACCCACTTTCTGTAGAATCTGCAAGTGGATATTTGGACTTCTCTGAGGATTTCGTTGGAAACGGGATAAACTTCCCAGAACTACACGGAAGCATTCTGAGAAACTTCTTTGTGATGTTTGCATTCAACACACAGAGTTGAACCTTGCTTTCATAGTTCAGCTTTCAAACACTCTTTTTGTAGAATCTGCAAGTGGATATTTGGACCACTTTGTGGCCTTCCTTCGAAACGGGTATATCTTCACATCAAACCTAGACAGAAGCATTCTCAGAATGTTTCCTGTGATGACTGCATTCAACTCACAGAGGTGAACCATCCTGTTGATGGAGCAGTTTTGAAACTCTCTTTCTTTGGATTCTGCAAGTGGATATGTGGACCTCTGTGAAGATTTCGTTGGAAACGGGTTCATCTTCACAGAAAAACTAAACAGGAGCATTCTCAGAAACTGCTTTGTGATGTTTGTGTTCCACTTCAAGAATTGAACTTTACTCTTGACAGAGCAGCTCTGAAACCCTCTTTTTCTAGAATCTGCAAGTGGACATTTGGAGGGCTTTGAGGCCTGTGGTGGAAAAGGAAAATCTTCACATAAAAACTAGATGGAAGCATTCTCAGAAACTACTTTGTGATGATTGCATTCGACTCACAGAGTTGAACATTCCTATAGATAGAGCAGGTTGTAAACAATCTTTTTGTAGAATCTGCGATTGGAGATTTGGACTGCTTTGAGGCCTACTTTAGTAAAGGAAATAACTTCATCTAAAAACCAAACGGAAGCATTCACAGACAATTCTTAGTGATCATTGGATTGAACTAACAGAGCTGAACATTCCTTTAGATGGCGCAGTTTCCAAACACACTTTCTGTAGAATCTGCCACTGGATATTTGGAACTCTCTGAGGATTTCTTTGGAAACGGGCTAAACTTCCCAGAACTACACGGAAGCATTCTGAGAAACTTCTTTGTGATGTTTGCATTCAACTCACAGAGTTGAACCTTGCTTTCATAGTTCAGCTTTCAAACACTCTTTTTGTAGAATCTGCAAGTGGATATTTGGACCACTTTGTGGCCTTCCTTCGAAACGGGTATATCTTCACATCAAACCTAGACAGAAGCATTCTCAGAATGTTTCCTGTGATGACTGCATTCAACTCACAGAGGTGAACAATCCTGCTGATGGAGCAGTGTTGAAACTCTCTTTCTTTGGATTCTGCAAGTTGATATGTGGACCTCTGTGAAGATTTCGTTGGAAACGGGTTCATCTTCACAGAAAAACTAAACAGAAGCATTCTCAGAAACTGCTTTGTGATGTTTTTGTTCCACTTCAGGAATTGAACTTTCCTCTTGACGGAGCAGCTCTGAAACCCTCTTATTCTAGAATCTGCAAGTGGACATTTGGAGGGCTTTGAGGCCTGTGGTGGAAAAGGAAAATGTTCACATAAAAACTAGATGGAAGCATTCTCAGAAACTACTTTGTGATGATTGCATTCGACTCAGAGAGTTGAACATTCCTATAGATAGAGCAGGTTGTAAACAATCTTTTTGTAGAATCTGCGATTGGAGATTTGGACTGCTTTGAGGCCTACTGTAGTAAAGGAAATAACTTCATCTAAAAATCAAACGGAAGCATTCACAGTACAATTCTTAGTGATCATTGGATTGAACTAACAGAGCTGAACATTCCTTTAGATGGCGCAGTTTCCAAACACACTTTCTGTAGACTCTGCAACTGGATATTTGGACCTCTCTGAGGATTTCGTTGGAAACGGGATAAACTTCCCAGAACTACACGGAAGCATTCTGAGAAACTTCTTTGTGATGTTTGCATTCAACTCACAGAGTTGAACCTTGCTTTCATAGTTCAGCTTTCAAACACTCTTTTTGTAGAATCTGCAAGTGGATATTTCGACCACTTTGTGGCCTTCCTTCGAAACGGGTATATCTTCACATCAAACCTAGACAGAAGCATTCTCAGAATGTTTCCTGTGATGACTGCATTCAACTGACAGAGGTGAACAATCCTGCTGATGGAGCAGTTTTGAAACTCTCTTTCTTTGGATTCTGCAAGTGGATATGTGGACCTCTGTGAAGATTTCGTTGGAAACGGGTTCATCTTCACAGAAAAACTAAACAGGAGCATTCTCAGAAACTGCTTTGTGATGTTTGTGTTCCACTTCAAGAATTGAACTTTCCTCTTGACAGAGCAGCTCTGAAACCCTCTTTTTCTAGAATCTGCAAGTGGACATTTGGAGGGCTTTGAGGCCTGTGGTGGAAAAGGAAAATCTTCACATAAATACTAGATGGAAGCATTCTCAGAAACTACTTTGTGATGATTGCATTCGACTCACAGCAGTTGAACATTCCTATAGATAGAGCAGGTTGTAAACAATCTTTTTGTAGAATCTGCGATTGGAGATTTGGACTGCTTTGAGGCCTACTGTAGTAAAGGAAATAACTTCATCTAAAAACCAAACGGAAGCATTCACAGACAATTCTTAGTGATCATTGGATTGAACTAACAGAGCTGAACATTCCTTTAGATGGAGCAGTTTCCAAACCCACTTTCTGTAGAATCTGCAAGTGGATATTTGGACTTCTCTGAGGATTTCGTTGGAAACGGGATAAACTTCCCAGAACTACACGGAAGCATTGTGAGAAACTTCTTTGTGATGTTTGCATTCAACTCACAGAGTTGAACCTTGCTTTCATAGTTCAGCTTTCAAACACTCTTTTTGTAGAATCTGCAAGTGGATATTTGGACCACTTTGTGGCCTTCCTTCGAAACGGGTATATCTTCACATCAAACCTAGACAGAAGCATTCTCAGAATGTTTCCTGTGATGACTGCATTCAACTCACAGAGGTGAACAATCCTGCTGATGGAGCAGTTTTGAAACTCTCTTTGTTTGGATTCTGCAAGTAGACATGTGGACCTCTGTGAAGATTTCGTTGGAAACGGGTTCATCTTCACAGAAAAACTAAACAGAAGCATTCTCAGAAACTGCTTTGTGATGTTTCTGTTCCACTTCAGGAATTGAACTTTCCTCTTGACAGAGCAGCTCTGAAACCCTCTTATTCTAGAATCTGCAAGTGGACATTTTGAGGGCTTTGAGGCCTGTGGTGCAAACGGAAAATCTTCACATAAAAACTAGATGGAAGCATTCTCAGAAACTACTTTGTGATGATTGCATTCGACTCACAGAGTTAAACATTCCTATAGATAGAGCAGGTTGTAAACAATCTTTTTGTAGAATCTGCGATTGGAGATTTGGACTGCTTTGAGGCCTACTGTAGTAAAGGAAATAACTTCATCCTAAAAACCAAACGGATGCATTCACAGACAATTCTTAGTGATCATTGGATTGAACTAACAGAGCTGAACATTCCTTTAGATGGAGCAGTTGCCAAACCCACTTTCTGTAGAATCTGCAAGTGGATATTTGGACTTCTCTGAGGAATTCGTTGGAAACGGGATAAACTTCCCAGAACTACACGGAAGCATTGTGAGAAACTTCTTTGTGATGTTTGCATTCAACTCACAGAGTTGAACCTTGCTTTCATAGTTCAGCTTTCAAACACTCTTTTTGTAGAATCTGCAAGTGGATATTTGGACCACTTTGTGGCCTTCCTTCGAAACGGGTATATCTTCACATCAAACCTAGACAGAAGCATTCTCAGAATGTTTCCTGTGATGACTGCATTCAACTCACAGAGGTGAACAATCCTGTTGATGGAGCAGTTTTGAAACTCTCTTTCTTTGGATTCTGCAAGTGGATATGTGGACCTCTGTGAAGATTTCGTTGGAAACGGGTTCATCTTCACAGAAAAACTAAACAGGAGCATTCTCAGAAACTGCTTTGTGATGTTTGTGTTCCACTTCAAGAATTGAACTTTCCTCTTGACAGAGCAGCTCTGAAACCCTCTTTTTCTAGAATCTGCAAGTGGACATTTGGAGGGCTTTGAGGCCTGTGGTGGAAAAGGAAAATCTTCACATAAAAACTAGATGGAAGCATTCTCAGAAACTACTTTGTGATGATTGCATTCGACTCACAGAGTTGAACATTCCTATAGATAGAGCAGGTTGTAAACAATCTTTTTGTAGAATCTGCGATTGGAGATTTGGACGGCTTTGAGGCCTACTGTAGTAAAGGAAATAACTTCATCTAAAAACCAAACGGAAGCATTCACAGACAATTCTTAGTGATCACTGGATTGAACTAACAGAGCTGAACATTCCTTTAGATGGAGCAGTTTCCAAACACACTTTCTGTAGAATCTGCAAGTGGATATTTGGACTTCTCTGAGGATTTCGTTGGAAACGGGATAAACTTCCCAGAACTACACGGAAGCATTGTGAGAAACTTCTTTGTGATGTTTGCATTCAACTCACAGAGTTGAACCTTGCTTTCATAGTTCAGCTTTCAAACACTCTTTTTGTAGAATCTGCAAGTGGATATTTGGACCACTTTGTGGCCTTCCTTCGAAAGGGGTATATCTTCACATCAAACCTAGACAGAAGCATTCTCAGAATGTTTCCTGTGATGACTGCATTCAACTCACAGAGGTGAACAATCCTGTTGATGGAGCAGTTTTGAAACTCTCTTTCTTTGGATTCTGCAAGTTGATATGTGGACCACTGTGAAGATTTCGTTGGAAACGGGTTCATCTTCACAGAAAAACTAAACAGAAGCATTCTCAGAAACTGCTTTGTGATGTTTGTGTTCCACTTCAAGAATTGAACTTTCCTCTTGACAGAGCAGCTCTGAAACCCTCTTTTTCTAGAATCTGCAAGTGGACATTTGGAGGGCTTTGAGGCCTGTGGTGGAAAAGGAAAATCTTCCCATAAAAACTAGATGGAAGCATTCTCAGAAACTACTTTGTGATGATTGCATTCGACTCACAGAGTTGAACATTCCTATAGATAGAGCAGGTTGTAAACAATCTTTTTGTAGAATCTGCGATTGGAGATTTGGACTGCTTTGAGGCCTACTGTAGTAAAGGAAATAACTTCATCTAAAAACCAAACGGAAGCATTCACAGACAATTCTTAGTGATCATTGGATTGAACTAACAGAGCTGAAGATTCCCTTAGATGGCGCAGTTTCCAAACACACTTTCTGTAGAATCTGCAAGTGGATATTTGGACCTCTCTGAGGATTTCGTTGGAAACGGGATAAACTTCCCAGAACTACACGGAAGCATTCTGAGAAACTTCTTTGTGATGTTTGCATTCAACTCACAGAGTTGAACCTTGCTTTCATAGTTCAGCTTTCAAACACTCTTTTTGTAGAATCTGCAAGTGGATATTTGGACCACTTTGTGGCCTTCCTTCGAAACGGGTATATCTTCACATCAAACCTAGACAGAAGCATTCTCAGAATGTTTCCTGTGATGACTGCATTCAACTCACAGGAGGTGAACAATCCTGCTGATGGAGTAGTTTTGAAACTCTCTTTCTTTGGATTCTGCAAGTGGATATGTGGACCTCTGTGAAGATTTCGTTAGAAACGGGTTCATCTTCACAGAAAAACTAAACAGAAGCATTCTCAGAAACTGCTTTGTGATGTTTGTGTTCCACTTCAGGAATTGAACTTTCCTCTTGACAGAGCAGCTCTGAAACCCTCTTATTCTAGAATCTGCAAGTGGACATTTGGAGGGCTTTGAGGCCTGTGGTGGAAAAGGAAAATCTTCACATAAAAACTAGATGGAAGCATTCTCAGAAACTACTTTGTGATGATTGCATTCGACTCACAGAGTTGAACATTCCTATAGATAGAGCAGGTTGTAAACAAAGTTTTTGTAGAATCTGCGATTGGAGATTTGGACTGCTTTGAGGCCTACTGTAGTAAAGGAAATAACTTCATCTAAAAACCAAACGGAAGCATTCACAGACAATTCTTAGTGATCATTGCATTGAACTAACAGAGCTGAACATTCCTTTAGATGGCGCAGTTTCCAAACACACTTTCTGTAGAATCTGCAAGTGGATATTTGGACTTCTCTGAGGATTTCGTTGGAAACGGGATAAACTTCCCAGAACTACACGGAAGCATTGTGAGAAAATTCTTTGTGATGTTTGCATTCAACTCACACAGTTGAACCTTGCTTTCATAGTTCAGCTTTCAAACACTCTTTTTGTAGAATCTGCAAGTGGATATTTGGACCACTTTGTGGCCTTCCTTCGAAACGGGTATATCTTCACATCAAACCTAGACAGAAGCATTCTCAGAATGTTTCATGTGATGACTGCATTCAACTCACAGAGGTGAACAATCCTGTTGATGGAGCAGTTTTGAATCTCTCTTTCTTTGGATTCTGCAAGTGGATATGTGGACCTCTGTGAAGATTTCGTTGGAAACGGGTTCATTTTCACAGAAAAACTAAACAGAAGCATTCTCAGAAACTGCTTTGTGATGTTTGTGTTCCACTTCAGGAATTGAACTTTCCTCTTGACAGAGCAGCTCTGAAACCCTCTTTTTCTAGAATCTGCAAGTGGACATTTGGAGGGCTTTGAGGCCTGTGGTGGAAAAGGAAAATCTTCACATAAAAACTAGATGGAAGCATTCTCAGAAACTACTTTGGGATGATTGCATTCGACTCACAGAGTTGAACATTCCTATAGATAGAGCAGGTTGTAAACAATCTTTTTGTAGAATCTGCGATTGGAGATTTGGACTGCTTTGAGGCCTACTGTAGTAAAGGAAATAACTTCATCTAAAAACCAAACGGAAGCATTCACAGACAATTCTTAGTGATCATTGGATTGAACTAACAGAGCTGAACATTCCTTTAGATGGAGCAGTTTCCAAACACACTTTCTGTAGAATCTGCAAGTGGATATTTGGACTTCTCTGAGGATTTCGTTGGAAACGGGATAAACTTCCCAGAACTACAGGGAAGCATTCTGAGAAACTTCTTTGTGATGTTTGCATTCAACTCACAGAGTTGAACCTTGCTTTCATAGTTCAGCTATCAAACACTCTTTTTGTAGAATCTGCAAGTGGATATTTGGACCACTTTGTGGCCTTCCTTCGAAACGGGTATATCTTCACATCAAACCTAGACAGAAGCATTCTCAGAATGTGTCCTGTGATGACTGCATTCAACTCACAGAGGTGAACAATCCTGTTGATGGAGCAGTTTTGAAACTCTCTTTCTTTGGATTCTGCAAGTGGATATGTGGACCTCTGTGAAGATTTCGTTGGAAACGGGTTCATCTTCACAGAAAAACTAAACAGGAGCATTCTCAGAAACTGCTTTGTGATGTTTGTGTTCCACTTCAGGAATTCAACTTTCCTCTTGACAGAGCAGCTCTGAAACCCTCTTTTTCTAGAATCTGCAAGTGGACATTTGGAGGGCTTTGAGGCCTGTGGTGGAAAAGGAAAATCTTCACATAAAAACTAGATGGAAGCATTCTCAGAAACTACTTTGTGATGATTGCATTCGACTCACAGAGTTGAACATTCCTATAGATAGAGCAGGTTGTAAACAATCTTTTTGTAGAATCTGCGATTGGAGATTTGGACTGCTTTGAGGCCTACTGTAGTAAAGGAAATAACTTCATCTAAAAACCAAACGGAAGCATTCACAGACAATTCTTAGTGATCATTGGATTGAACTAACAGAGCTGAACATTCCTTTAGATGGAGCAGTTTCCAAACCCACTTTCTGTAGAATCTGCAAGTGGATATTTGGACTTCTCTGAGGATTTCGTTGGAAACGGGATAAACTTCCCAGAACTACACGGAAGCATTGTGAGAAACTTCTTTGTGATGTTTGCATTCAACTCACAGAGTTGAACCTTGCTTTCATAGTTCAGCTTTCAAACACTCTTTTTGTGGAATCTGCAAGTGGATATTTGGACCACTTTGTGGCCTTCCTTCGAAACGGGTATATCTTCACATCAAACATAGACAGAAGCATTCTCAGAATGTTTCCTGTGATGACTGCATTCAACTCACAGAGGTGAACAATCCTGCTGATGGAGCAGTTTTGAAACTCTCTTTCTTTGGATTCTGCAAGTGGATATGTGGACCTCTGTGAAGATTTCGTTGGAAACGGGTTCATCTTCACAGAAAAACTAAACAGGAGCATTCTCAGAAACTGCTTTGTGATGTTTGTGTTCCACTTCAAGAATTGAACTTTCCTCTTGACAGAGCAGCTCTGAAACCCTCTTTTTCTAGAATCTGCAAGTGGGCATTTGGAGGGCTTTGAGGCTTGTGGTGGAAAAGGAAAATCTTCACATAAAAACTAGATGGAAGCATTCTCAGAAACTACTTTGTGATGATTGCATTCGACTCACAGAGTTGAACATTCCTATAGATAGAGCAGGTTGTAAACAATCTTTTTGTAGAATCTGCGATTGGAAATTTGGACTGCTTTGAGGCCTACTGTAGTAAAGGAAATAACTTCATCTAAAAACCAAACGGAAGCATTCACAGACAATTCTTAGTGATCATTAGATTGAACTAACAGAGCTGAAAATTCCTTTAGATGGCGCAGTTTCCAAACACACTTTCTGTAGAATCTGCAAGTGGATATTTGGACCTCTCTGAGGATTTCGTAGGAAACGGGATAAACTTCCCAGAACTACACGGAAGCATTCTGAGAAACTTCTTTGTGATGTTTGCATTCAACTCACAGAGTTGAACCTTGCTTTCATAGTTCAGCTTTCAAACACTCTTTTTGTAGAATCTGCAAGTGGATATTTGGACCACTTTGTGGCCTTCCTTCGAAACGGGTATATCTTCACATCAAACCTAGACAGAAGCATTCTCAGAATGTTTCCTGTGATGACTGCATTCAACTCACAGAGGTGAACAATCCTGCTGATGGAGCAGTTTTGAAACTCTCTTTCTTTGGATTCTGCAAGTGGATATGTGGACCTCTGTGAAGATTTCGTTGGAAACGGGTTCATCTTCACAGAAAAACTAAACAGGAGCATTCTCAGAAACTGCTTTGTGATGTTTGTGTTCCACTTGAAGAATTGAACTTTCCTCTTGACAGAGCAGCTCTGAAACCCTCTTTTTCTAGAATCTGCAAGTGGACATTTGGAGGGCTTTGAGGCCTGTGGTGGAAAAGGAAAATCTTCACATAAAAACTAGATGGAAGCATTCTCAGAAACTACTTTGTGATGATTGCATTCGACTCACAGGGTTGAACATTCCTATAGATAGAGCAGGTTGTAAACAATCTTTTTGTAGAATATGCGATTGGAGATTTGGACTGCTTTGAGGCCTACTGTAGTAAAGGAAATAACTTCATCTAAAAACCAAACGGAAGCATTCACAGACAATTCTTAGTGATCATTGGATTGAACTAACAGAGCTGAACATTCCTTTAGATGGAGCAGTTTCCAAACCCACTTTCTGTAGAATCTGCAAGTGGATATTTGGACTTCTCTGAGGATTTCGTTGGAAACGGGATAAACTTCCCAGAACTACACGGAAGCATTGTGAGAAACTTCTTTGTGATGTTTGCATTCAACTCACAGAGTTGAACCTTGCTTTCATAGTTCAGCTTTCAAACACTCTTTTTGTAGAATCTGCAAGTGGATATTTGGACCACTTTGTGGCCTTCCTTCGAAACGGGTATATCTTCACATCAAACCTAGACAGAAGCATTCTCAGAATGTTTCCTGTGATGACTGCATTCAACTCACAGAGGTGAACAATCCTGCTGATGGAGCAGTTTTGAAACTCTCTTTCTTTGGATTCTGCAAGTGGATATGTGGACCTCTGTGAAGATTTCGTTGGAAACGGGTTCATCTTCACAGAAAAACTAAACAGGAGCATTCTCAGAAACTGCTGTGTGATGTCTGTGTTCGACTTCAGGAATTGAACTTTCCTCTTGACAGAGCAGCTCTGAAACCCTCTTATTCTAGAATCTGCAAGTGGACATTTGGAGGGCTTTGAGGCCTGTGGTGGAAAAGGAAAATCTTCACATAAAAACTAGATGGAAGCATTCTCAGAAACTCCTTTGTGATGATTGCATTCGACTCACAGAGTTGAACATTCCTATAGATAGAGCAGGTTGTAAACAATCTTTTTGTAGAATCTGCGATTGGAGATTTGGACTGCTTTGAGGCCTACTGTAGTAAAGGAAATAACTTCATCTAAAAACCAAACGGAAGCATTCACAGACAATACTTTGTGATCATTGGATTGAACTAAGAGAGCTGAACATTCCTTTAGATGGCGCAGTTTCCAAACACACTTTCTGTAGGATATGCAAGTGGATATTTGGACCTCTCTGAGGATTTCGTTGGAAACGGGATAAATTCCCAGAACTACACAGAAGCATTGTGAGAAACTTCTTTGTGATGTTTGCATTCAACTCACAGAGTTGAACCTTGCTTTCATAGTTCAGCTTTCAAACACTCTTATTGTAGAATCTGCAAGTGGATATTTGGACCACTTTGTGGCCTTCCTTCGAAACGGGTATATCTTCACATCAAACCTAGACAGAAGCATTCTCAGAATGTTTCCTGTGATGACTGCATTCAACTCACAGAGGTGAACAATCCTGTTGATGGAGCAGTTTTGAAACTCTCTTTCTTTGGATTCTGCAAGTGGATATGTGGACCTCTGTGAAGATTTCGTTGGAAACGGGTTCATCTTCACAGAAAAACTAAACAGAAGCATTCTCAGAAACTGCTTTGTGATGTTTGTGTTCCACTTAAAGAATTGAACTTTCCTCTTGACAGAGCAGCTCTGAAACCCTCTTTTTCTAGAATCTGCAAGTGGACATTTGGAGGGCTTTGAGGCCTGTGGTGGAAAAGGAAAATCTTCACATAAAAACTAGATGGAAGCATTCTCAGAAACTACTTTGTGATGATTGCATTCGACTCACAGAGTTGAACATTCCCATAGATAGAGCAGGTTGAAAACAATCTTTTTGTAGAATCTGCGATTGGAGATTTGGACTGCTTTGAGGCCTACTGTAGTAAAGGAAATAACTTCATCTAAAAAGCAAACGGAAGCATTCACAGACAATTCTTAGTGATCATTGCATTGAACTAACAGAGCTGAACATTCCTTTAGATGGAGCAGTTTCCAAACCCACTTTCTGTAGAATCTGCAAGTGGATATTTGGACCTCTCTGAGGATTTCGTTGGAAACGGGATAAACTTCCCAGAACTAAACGGAAGCATGCTGAGAAACTTCTTTGTGATGTTTGCATTCAACTCACAGAGTTGAACCTTGCTTTCATAGTTCAGCTTTCAAACACTCTTTTTGTAGAATCTGCAAGTGGATATTTGGACCACTTTGTGGCCTTCCTTCGAAACGGGTATATCTTCACTTCAAACCTAGACAGAAGCATTCTCAGAATGTTTCCTGTGATGACTGCATTCAACTCACAGAGGTGAACAATCCTGTTGATGGAGCAGTTTTGAAACTCTCTTTCTTTGGATTCTGCAAGTTGATATGTGGACCTCTGTGAAGATTTCGTTGGAAACGGGTTCATCTTCACAGAAAAACTAAACAGAAGCATTCTCAGAAACTGCTTTGTGATGTTTGTGTTCCACTTCAGGAATTGAACTTTCCTCTTGACAGAGCAGCTCTAAAACCCTCTTATTCTAGAATCTGCAAGTGGACATTTGGAGGGCTTTGAGGCCTGTGGTGGAAAAGGAAAATCTTCACATAAAAACTAGATGGAAGCATTCTCAGAAACTCCTTTGTGATGATTGCATTCGACTCACAGAGTTGAACATTCCTATAGATAGAGCAGGTTGTAAACAATCTTTTTGTAGAATCTGCGATTGGAGATTTGGACTGCTTTGAGGCCTACTGTAGTAAAGGAAATAACTTCATCTAAAAACCAAACGGAAGCATTCACAGACAATTCTTAGTGATCATTGGATTGAACTAACAGAGCTGAACATTCCTTTAGATGGCGCACTTTCCAAACACACTTTCTGTAGAATCTGCAACTGGATATTTGGACCTCTCTGAGGATTTCGTTGGAAACGGGATAAACTTCCCAGAACTACACGGAAGCATTCTGAGAAACTTCTTTGTGATGTTTGCATTCAACTCACAGAGTTGAACCTTGCTTTCATAGTTCAGCTTTCAAACACTCTTTTTGTAGAATCTGCAAGTGGATATTTGGACCACTTTGTGGCCTTCCTTCGAAACGGGTATATCTTCACATCAAACCTAGACAGAAGCATTCTCAGAATGTTTCCTGTGATGACTGCATTCAACTCACAGAGGTGAACAATCCTGTTGATGGAGCAGTTTTGAAACTCTCTTTCTTTGGATTCTGCGAGTTGATATGTGGACCTTTGTGAAGATTTCGTTGGAAACGGGTTCATCTTCACAGAAAAACTAAACAGAAGCATTCTCAGAAACTGCTTTGTGATGTTTGTGTTCCACTTCAAGAATTGAACTTTCCTCTTGACAGAGCAGCTCTGAAACCCTCTTTTTCTAGAATCTGCAAGTGGACATTTGGAGGGCTTTGAGGCCTGTGGTGGAAAAGGAAAATCTTCACATAAAAACTAGATGGAAGCATTCTCAGAAACTACTTTGTGATGATTGCATTCGACTCACAGAGTTGAACATTCCTATAGATAGAGCAGGTTGTAAACAATGTTTTTGTAGAATCTGCGATTGGAGATTTGGATTGCTTTGAGGCCTACTGTAGTAAAGGAAATAACTTCATCTAAAAACCAAACGGAAGCATTCACAGACAATTCTTAGTGATCATTGGATTGAACTAACAGAGCTGAACATTCCTTTAGATGGAGCAGTTTCCAAACACACTTTCTGTAGAATCTGCAAGTGGATATTTGGACTTCTCTGAGGATTTCGTTGGAAACGGGATAAACTTCCCAGAACTACACGGAAGCATTGTGAGAAACTTCTTTGTGATGTTTGCATTCAACTCACAGAGTTGAACCTTGCTTTCATAGTTCAGCTTTCAAACACTCTTTTTGTAGAATCTGCAAGTGGATATTTGGACCACTTTGTGGCCTTCCTTCGAAACGGGTATATCTTCACATCAAACCTAGACAGAAGCATTCTCAGAATGTTTCCTGTGATGACTGCATTCAACTCACAGAGGTGAACAATCCTGCTGATGGAGCAGTTTTGAAACTCTCTTTCTTTGGATTCTGCAAGTGGATATGTGGACCTCTGTGAAGATTTCGTTGGAAACGGGTTCATCTTCACAGAAAAACTAAACAGAAGCATTCTCAGAAACTACTTTGTGATGTTTGTGTTCCACTTCAAGAATTGAACTTTCCTCTTGACAGAGCAGCTCTGAAACCCTCTTTTTCTAGAATCTGCAAGTGGACATTTGGAGGGCTTTGAGGCCTGTGGTGGAAAAGGAAAATCTTCACATAAAAACTAGATGGAAGCATTCTCAGAAACTACTTTGTGATGATTGCATTCGACTCACAGAGTTGAACATTCCTATAGATAGAGCAGGTTGTAAACAATCTTTTTGTAGAATCTGCGATTGGAGATTTGGACTGCTTTGAGGCCTACTGTAGTAAAGGAAATAACTTCATCTAAAAACCAAACGGAAGCATTCACAGACAATCCTTAGTGATCATTGCATTGAACTAACAGAGCTGAACATTCCTTTAGATGGCGCAGTTTCCAAACACACTTTCTGTAGAATCTGCAAGTGGATATTTGGACCTCTCTGAGGATTTCGTTGGAAACGGGATAAACTTCCCAGAACTACACGGAAGCATGCTGAGAAACTTCTTTGTGATGTTTGCATTCAACTCACAGAGTTGAACCTTGCTTTCATAGTTCAGCTTTCAAACACTCTTTTTGTAGAATCTGCAAGTGGATATTTGGACCACTTTGTGGCCTTCCTTCGAAACGGGTATATCTTCACATCAAACCTAGACAGAAGCATTCTCAGAATGTTTCCTGTGATGACTGCATTCAACTCATAGAGGTGAACAATCCTGCTGATGGAGCAGTTTTGAAACTCTCTTTCTTTGGATTCTGCAAGTGGATATGTGGACCTCTGTGAAGATTTCGTTGGAAACGGGTTCATCTTCACAGAAAAACTAAACAGAAGCATTCTCAGAAACTGCTTTGTGATGTTTCTGTTCCACTTCAAGAATTGAACTTTCCTCTTGACAGAGCAGCTCTGAAACCCTCTTTTTCTAGAATCTGCAAGTGGACATTTGGAGGGCTTTGAGGCCTGTGGTGGAAAAGGAAAATCTTCACATAAAAACTAGATGGAAGCATTCTCAGAAACTACTTTGTGATGATTGCATTCGACTCACAGAGTTGAACATTCCTATAGATAGAGCAGGTTGTAAACAATCTTTTTGTAGAATCTGCGATTGGAGATTTGGACTGCTTTGAGGCCTACTGTAGTAAAGGAAATAACTTCATCTAAAAACCAAACGGAAGCATTCACAGACAATTCTTAGTGATCATTGGATTGAACTAACAGAGCTGAACATTCCTTTAGATGGCACAGTTTTCAAACACACTTTCTGTAGAATCTGCAAGTGGATATTTGGACCTCTCTGAGGATTTCGTTGGAAATGTGATAAACTTCCCAGAACTACACGGAAGCATTCTCAGAAACTTCTTTGTCACGTTTGCATTCAACTCACAGAGTTGAACCTTCCTTTTATAGTTCAGCTTTCAAACACTCTATTTTTAGAATCTGCAAGTGGATATTTGGACCACTTTGAGGCCTTCCTTCGAAACGGGTATATCTTCACATCAAACCTAGACAGAAGCATTCTCAGAATGTTTCCTGTGATGACTGCATTCAACTCACAGAGGTGAACAATCCTGTTGATGGAGCACTTTTGAAACTCTCTTTCTTTGGATTCTGCAAGTTGATATGTGGACCTCTGTGAAGATTTCGTTGGAAACGGGTTCATCTTCACAGAAAAACTAAACAGAAGCATTCTCAGAAACTGCTTTGTGATGTTTGTGTTCCACTTCAGGAATTGAACTTTCCTCTTGACAGAGCAGCTCTGAAACCCTCTTTTTCTAGAATCTGCAAGTGGACATTTGGAGGGCTTTGAGGCCTGTGGTGGAAAAGGAAAATCTTCACATAAGAACTAGATGGAAGCATTCTCAGAAACTCCTTTGTGATGATTGCATTCGACTCACAGAGTTGAACTTCCCTACAGATAGAGCAGGTTGTAAACAATCTTTTTGTAGAATCTGCGATTGGAGATTTGGACTGCTTTGAGGCCTACTGTAGTAAAGGAAATAACTTCATCTAAAAACCAAACGGAAGCATTCACAGACAATTCTTAGTGATCATTGGATTGAACTAACAGAGCTGAACATTCCTTTAGATGGAGCAGATTCCAAACACACTTTCTGTAGAATCTGCAACTGGATATTTGGACCTCTCTGAGGATTTCGTTGGAAACAGGATAAACTTCCCAGAACTACACGGAAGCATTCTGAGAAACTTCTTTGTGATGTTTGCATTCAACTCACAGAGTTGAACCTTGCTTTCATAGTTCAGCTTTCAAACACTCTTTTTGTAGAATCTGCAAGTGGATATTTGGACCACTTTGTGGCCTTCCTTCGAAACGGGTATATCTTCACATCAAACCTAGACAGAAGCATTCTCAGAATGTTTCCTGTGATGACTGCATTCACCTCACAGAGGTGAACCATCCTGTTGATGGAGCAGTTTTGAAACTCTCTTTCTTTGGATTCTGCAAGTGGATATGTGGACCTCTGTGAAGATTTCGTTGGAAACGGGTTCATCTTCACAGAAAAACTAAACAGGAGCATTCTCAGAAACTGCTTTGTGATGTTTGTGTTCCACTTCAGGAATTGAACTTTCCTCTTGACAGAGCAGCTCTGCAACCCTCTTATTCTAGAATCTGCAAGTGGACATTTGGAGGGCTTTGAGGCCTGTGGTGGAAAAGGAAAATCTTCACATAAAAACTAGATGGAAGCATTCTCAGAAACTACTTTGTGATGATTGCAACGACTCACAGAGTTGAACACTCCTATAGATAGAGCAGGTTGTAAACAATCTTTTTGTAGAATCTGCGATTGGAGATTTGGACTGCTTTGAGGCCTACTGTAGTAAAGGAAATAACTTCATCTAAAAACCAAACGGAAGCATTCACAGACAATTCTTAGTGATCATTGCATTGAACTAACAGAGCTGAACATTGCTTTAGACGGCGCAGTTTCCAAACACACTTTCTGTAGAATCTGCAATTGGATATTTGGACTTCTCTGAGGATTTCGTTGGAAACGGGATAAACTTACCAGAACTACACGGAAGCATTCTGAGAAACTTCTTTGTGATGTTTGCATTCAACTCACAGAGTTGAACCTTGCTTTCATAGTTCAGCTTTCAAACACTCTTTTTGTAGAATCTGCAAGTGGATATTTGGACCACTTTGTGGCCTTCCTTCGAAACGGGTATATCTTCACATCAAACCTAGACAGAAGCATTCTCAGAATGTTTCCTGTGATGACTGCATTCAACTCACAGAGGTGAAAAATCCTGCTGATGGAGCAGTTTTGAAACTCTCTTTCTTTGGATTCTGCAAGTGGATATGTGGACCTCTGTGAAGATTTCGTTGGAAACGGGTTCATCTTCACAGAAAAAATAAACAGGAGCATTCTCAGAAACTGCTTTGTGATGTTTGTGTTCCACTTCAAGAATTGAACTTTCCTCTTGACAGAGCAGCTCTGAAACCCTCTTTTTCTAGAATCTGCAAGTGGACATTTGGAGGGCTTTGAGGCCTGTGGTGGAAAAGGAAAATCTTCACATAAAAACTAGATGGAAGCATTCTCAGAAACTACTTTGTGATGATTGCATTCGACTCGCAGAGTTGAACATTCCTATAGATAGAGCAGGTTGTAAACAATCTTTTTGTAGAATCTGAGATTGGAGATTTGGACTGCTTTGAGGCCTACTGTAGTAAAGGAAATAACTTCATCTAAAAACAAAACGGAAGCATTCACAGACAATTCTTAGTGATCATTGGATTGAACTAACAGACCTGTACATTCCTTTAGATGGAGCAGTTTCCAAACACACTTTCTGTAGAATCTTCAAGTGGATATTTGGACTTCTCTGAGGATTTCGTTGGAAACGGGATAAACTTCCCAGAACTACACGGAAGCATTCTGAAAAACTTCTTTGTGATGTTTGCATTCAACTCACAGAGTTGAACCTTGCTTTCATAGTTCAGCTTTCAAACACTCTTTTTGTAGAATCTGCAAGTGGATATTTGGACCACTTTGTGGCCTTCCTTCGAAACGGGTATATCTTCACATCAAACCTAGACAGAAGCATTCTCAGAATGTTTCCTGTGATGACTGCATTCAACGCACAGAGGTGAACAATCCTGTTGATGGAGCAGTTTTGAACCTCTCTTTCTTTGGAATCTGCAAGTGGATATGTGGACCTCTTTGACGATTTCCTTGGAAACGGGTTCATCTTCAAAGAAAAACTAAACAGAAGCATTCTCAGAAACTGCTTTGTGATGTTTGTGTTCCACTTCAGGAATTGAACTTTCCTCTTAACAGAGCAGCTCTGAAACCCTCTTATTCTAGAATCTGCAAGTGGACATTTGGAGGGCTTTGAGGCCTCTGGTGGAAAAGGAAAATCTTCACATAAAAACTAGATGGAAGCATTCTCAGAAACTACTTTGTGATGATTGCATTCGACTCACAGAGTTGAACATTCCTATAGATAGAGCAGGTTGTAAACAATCTTTTTGTAGAATCTGCGATTGGAGATTTGGACTGCTTTGAGGCCTACTGTAGTAAAGGAAATAACTTCATCTAAAAACCAAACGGAAGCATTCACAGACAATTCTTAGTGATCATTGGATTGAACTAACAGAGCTGAACACTCCTTTAGATGGAGCAGTTTCCAAACACAATTTCTGTAGAATCTGCAAGTGGATATTTGGACTTCTCTGAGGATTTCGTTGGAAACGGGATAAACTTCCCAGAACTACACGGAAGCATTCTGAGAAACTTCTTTGTGACGTTTGCATTCAACTCACAGAGTTGAACCTTGCTTTCATAGTTCAGCTTTCAAACACTCTTTTTGTAGAATCTGCAAGTGGATATTTGGACCACTTTGTGGCCTTCCTTCGAAACGGGTATATCTTCACATCAAACCTAGACAGAAGCATTCTCAGAATGTTTCCTGTGATGACTGCATTCAACTCACAGAGGTGAACAATCCTGCTGATGGAGCAGTTTTGAAACTCTCTTTCTTTGGATTCTGCAAGTGGATATGTGGACCTCTGTGAAGATTTCGTTGGAAACGGGTTCATCTTCACAGAAAAACTAAACAGAAGCATTGTCAGAAACTGCTTTGTGATGTTTGTGTTCCACTTCAGCAATTGAACTTTCCTCTTGACAGAGTAGCTCTGAAACCCTCTTTTTCTAGAATCTGCAAGTGGACATTTGGAGGGCTTTGAGGCCTGTGGTGGAAAAGGAAAATCTTCACATAAAAACTAGATGGAAGCATTCTCAGAAACTACTTTGTGATGATTGCATTCGACTCACAGAGTTGAACATTCCTATACATAGAGCAGGTTGTAAACAATCTTTTTGTAGAATCTGCGATTGGAGATTTGGACTGCTTTGAGGCCTACTGTAGTAAAGGAAATAACTTCATCTAAAAACCAAACGGAAGCATTCACAGACAATTCTTAGTGATCATTGCATTGAACTAACAGAGCTGAACATTCCTTTAGATGGAGCAGTTTCCAAACCCACTTTCTGTAGAATCTGCAAGTGGATATTTGGACTTCTCTGAGGATTTCGTTGGAAACGGGATATGCTTCCCAGAACTACAGGGAAGCATTCTGAGAAACTTCTTTGTGATGTTTGCATTCAACTCACAGAGTTGAACCTTGCTTTCATAGTTCAGCTTTCAAACACTCTTTTTGTAGAATCTGCAAGTGGATATTTGGACCACTTTGTGGCCTTCCTTCGAAACGGGTATATCTTCACATCAAACCTAGACAGAAGCATTCTCAGAATGTTTCCTGTGATGACTGCATTCAACTCACAGAGGTGAACAATCCTGCTGATGGAGCAGTTTTGAAACTCTCTTTCTTTGGATTCTGCAAGTGGATATGTTGATCTCTGTGAAGATTTCGTTGGAAACGGATTCATCTTCACAGAAAAACTAAACAGGAGCATTCTCAGAAACTGCTTTGTGATGTTTGTGTTCCACTTCAGGAATTGAACTTTCCTCTTGACAGAGCAGCTCTGAAACCCTCTTTTTCTAGAGTGTGCAAGTGGACATTTGGAGGGCTTTGAGGCCTGTGGTGGAAAAGGAAAATCTTCACATAAAAACTAGATGGAAGCATTCTCAGAAACTAATTTGTGATGATTGCATTCGACTCACAGAGTTGAACATTCCTATAGATAGAGCAGGTTGTAAACAATCTTTTTGTAGAATCTGCGATTGGAGATTTGGACTGCTTTGAGGCCTACTGTAGTAAAGGAAATAACTTCATCTAAAAACCAAACGGAAGCTTTCACAGACAATTCTTAGTGATCATTGGATTGAACTAACAGAGCTGAACATTCCTTTAGATGGAGCAGTTTCCAAACACACTTTCTGTAGAATCTGCAAGTGGATATTTGGACTTCTCTGAGGATTTCGTTGGAAACGGGATAAACTTCCCAGAACTAAACGGAAAGCATTCTGAGAAACTTCTTTGTGATGTTTGCATTCAACTCACAGAGTTGAACCTTGCTTTCATAGTTCAGCTTTCAAACACTCTTTTTGTAGAATCTGCAAGTGGATATTTTGACCACTTTGTGGCCTTCCTTCGAAACGGGTATATCTTCACATCAAACCTAGACAGAAGCATTCTCAGAATGTTTCCTGTGATGACAGCATTCAACTCACAGAGGTGAACAATCCTGTTGATGGAGCAGTTTTGAAACTCTCTTTCTTTGGATTCTGCAAGTGGATATGTGGACCTCTGTGAAGATTTCGTTGGAAACGGGTTCATCTTCACAGAAAAACTAAACAGGAGCATTCTCAGAAACTGCTTTGTGATGTTTGTATTCCACTTCAAGAATTAAACTTTCCTCTTGACAGAGCAGCTCTGAAACCCTCTTTTTCTAGAATCTGCAAGTGGACATTTGGAGGGCTTTGAGGCCTGTGGTGGAAAAGGAAAATCTTCACATAAAAACTAGATGGAAGCATTCTCAGAAACTACTTTGTGATGATTGCATTCGACTCACAGAGTTGAACATTCCTATAGATAGAGCAGGTTGTAAACAATGTTTTTGTAGAATCTGCGATTGGAGATTTGGACTGCTTTGAGGCCTACTGTAGTAAAGGAAATAACTTCATCTAAAAACCAAACGGAAGCATTCACAGACAATTCTTAGTGATCATTGCATTGAACTAACAGAGCTGAACATTCCTTTAGATGGCGCAGTTTTCAAACACACTTTCTGTAGAATCTGCAAGTGGATATTTGGACCTCTCTGAGGATTTCGTTGGAAACGGGATAAACTTCCCAGAACTACACGGAAGCATTGTGAGAAACTTCTTTGTGATGTTTGCATTCAACTCACAGAGTTGAACCTTGCTTTCATAGTTCAGCTTTCAAACACTCTTTTTGTAGAATCTGCAAGTGGATATTTGGACCACTTTGTGGCCTTCCTTCGAAACGGGTATATCTTCACATCAAACCTAGACAGAAGCATTCTCAGAATGTTTCCTGTGATGACTGCATTCAACTCACAGAGGTGAACAATCCTGTTGATGGAGCCGTTTTGAAACTCCCTTTCTTTTGATTCTGCAAGTGGATATGTGGAACACTGTGAAGATTTCGTTGGAAACGGGTTCATCTTCACAGAAAAATTAACAGGAGCATTCTCAGAAACTGCTTTGTGATATTTGTGTTCCACTTCAGGAATTGAACTTTCCTCTTGACAGAGCAGCTCTGAAACCCTCTTTTTCTAGAATCTGCAAGTGGACATTTGGAGGGCTTTGAGGCCTGTGGTGGAAATGGAAAATCTTCACATAAATACTAGATGGAAGCATTCTCAGAAACTACTTTGTGATGATTGCATTCGACTCACAGAGTTGAACATTCCTATAGATAGAGTAGGTTGTAAACAATCTTTTTGTAGAATCTGCGATTGGAGATTTGGACTGCTTTGAGGCCTACTGTAGTAAAGGAAATAACTTTATCTAAAAACCAAACGGAAGCATTCACAGACAATTCTTAGTGATCATTGCATTGAACTAACAGAGCTGAACATTCCTTTAGATGGAGCAGTTTCCAAACACACTTTCTGTAGAATCTGAAAGTGGATATTTGGACTTCTCTGAGGATTTCGTTGGAAACGGGATAAACTTCTCAGAACTACACGGAAGCATTCTGAGAAACTTCTTTGTGATATTTGCATTCAACTCACAGAGTTGAACCTTGCTTTCATAGTTCAGCTTTCAAACACTCTTTTTGTAGAATCTGCAAGTGGATATTTGGACCACTTTGTGGCCTTCCTTCGAAACGTGTATATCTTCACATCAAACCTAGACAGAAGCATTCTCAGAATGTTTCCTGTGATGACTGCATTCAACTCACAGAGGTGAAAAATCCTGTTGATGGAGCAGTTTTGAAACTCTCTTTCTTTGGATTCTGCAAGTGGATATGTGGACCTCTGTGAAGATTTCGTTGGAAACGGGTTCATCTTCACAGAAAAACTAAACAGAAGCATTCTCAGAAACTGCTTTGTGATGTTTTTGTTCCACTTCAGGAATTGAACTTTCCTCTTGACAGAGCAGCTCTGAAACCCTCTTATTCTAGAATCTGCAAGTGGACATTTGGAGGGCTTTGAGGCCTGTGATGGAAAAGGAAAATCTTCACATAAAAACTAGATGGAAGCATTCTCAGAAACTACTTTGTGATGATTGCATTCGACTCACAGAGTTGAACATTCCTATAGATAGAGCAGGTTGTAAACAATCTTTTTGTAGAGTCTGCGATTGGAGATTTGGACTGCTTTGAGGCCTACTGTAGTAAAGGAAATAACTTCATCTAAAAACCAAACGGAAGCATTCACAGACAATTCTTAGTGATCATTGGATTGAACTAACAGAGCTGAACATTCCTTTAGATGGAGCAGTTTCCAAACACACTTTCTGTAGAATCTGCAAGTGGATATTTGGACTTCTCTGAGGATTTCGTTGGAAACGGGATAAACTTCCCAGAACTACAGGGAAGCATGCTGAGAAACTTCTTTGTGATGTTTGCATTCAACTCACAGAGTTGAACCTTGCTTTCATAGTTCAGCTTTCAAACACTCTTTTTGTAGAATCTGCAAGTGGATATTTGGACCACTTTGTGGCCTTCCTTCGAAACGGGTATATCTTCACTTCAAACCTAGACAGAAGCATTCTCAGAATGTTTCCTGTGATGACTGCATTCAACTCACAGAGGTGAACAATCCTGTTGATGGAGCCGTTTTGAAACTCCCTTTCTTTTGATTCTGCAAGTGGATATGTGGAACTCTGTGAAGATTTCGTTGGAAACGGGTTCATCTTCACAGAAAAATTAACAGGAACATTCTCAGAAACTGCTTTGTGATGTTTGTGTTCCACTTCAGGAATTGAACTTTCCTCTTGACAGAGCAGCTATGAAATCCTCTTATTCTAGAATCTGCAAGTGGACATTTGGAGGGCTTTGAGGCCTGTGGTGGAAAAGGAAAATCTTCACATAAAAACTAGATGGAAGCATTCTCAGAAAACTACTTTGTGATGATTGCATTCGACTCACAGAGTTGAACATTCCTATAGATAGAGCAGGTTGTAAACAATCTTTTTGTAGAATCTGCGATTGGAGATTTGGACTGCTTTGAGGCCTACTGTAGTAAAGGAAATTACTTCATCTAAAAACCAAACGGAAGCATTCACAGACAATTCTTAGTGATCATTGCATTGAACTAACAGAGCTGAACATTCCTTTAGATGGCGCAGTTTCCAAACACACTTTCTGTAGAATCTGCAAGTGGATATTTGGACTTCTCTGAGGATTTCGTTGGAAACGGGATAAACTTCCCAGAACTACACGGAAGCATGCTGAGAAACTTCTTTGTGATGTTTGCATTCAACTCACAGAGTTGAACCTTGCTTTCATAGTTCAGCTTTCAAACACTCTTTTTGTAGAATCTGCAAGTGGATATTTGGACCACTTTGTGGCCTTCCTTCGAAAACGGGTATATCTTCACATCAAACCTAGACAGAAACATTCTCAGAATGTTTCCTGAGATGACTGCATTCAACTCACAGAGGTGAACAATCCTACTGATGGAGCAGTTTTGAAACTCTCTTTCTTTGGATTCTGCAAGTGGATATGTGGACCTCTTTGAAGATTTCGTTGGAAACGGGTTCATCTTCACAGAAAAACTAAACAGGAGCATTCTCAGAAACTGCTTTGTGATGTTTGTGTTCCACTTCAGGAATTGAACTTTCCTCTTGACAGAGCAGCTCTGAAACCCTCTTTTTCTAGAATCTGCAAGTGGACATTTGGAGGGCTTTGAGGCCTGTGGTGGAAAAGGGAAATCTTCACATAAAAACTAGATGGAACCATTCTCAGAAACTACTTTGTGATGATTGCATTCGACTCACAGAGTTGAACATTCCTATAGATAGAGCAGGTTGTAAACAATCTTTTTGTAGAATCTGCGATTGGAGATTTGGACTGCTTTGAGGCCTACTGTAGTAAAGGAAATAACTTCATCTAAAAACCAAACGGAAGCATTCACAGACAATTCTTAGTGATCATTGGATTGAACTAACAGAGCTGAACATTCCTTTAGATGGAGCAGTTTCCAAACACACTTTCTGTAGAATCTGCAAGTGGATATTTGGACTTCTCTAAGGATTTCGTTGGAAACGGTATAAACTTCCCAGAACTACACGGAAGCATGCTGAGAAACTTCTTTGTGATGTTTGCATTCAACTCACAGAGTTGAACCTTGCTTTCATAGTTCAGCTTTCAAACACTCTTTTTGTAGAATCTGCAAGTGGATATTTGGACCACTTTGTGGCCTTCCTTCGAAACGGGTATATCTTCACATCAAACCTAGACAGAAGCATTCTCAGAATGTTTCCTGTGATAACTGCATTCAACTCACAGAGGTGAACAATCCTCCTGATGGAGCAGTTTTGAAACTCTCTTTCTTTGGATTCTGCAGCTGGATATGTGGACCTCTGTGAAGATTTCGTTGGAAACGGGTTCATCTTCACAGAAAAACTAAACAGAAGCATTTTCAGAAACTGCTTTGTGATGTTTGTGTTCCACTTCAAGAATTGAACTTTCCTCTTGACAGAGCAGCTCTGAAACCCTCTTTTTCTAGAATCTGCAAGTGGTCATTTGGAGGGCTTTGAGGCCTGTGGTGGAAAAGGAAAATCTTCACATAAAAACTAGATGGAAGCATTCTCAGAAACTACTTTGTGATGATTGCATTCGACTCACAGAGTTGAACATTCCTATAGATAGAGCAGGTTGTAAACAATCTTTTTGTAGAATCTGCGATTGGAGATTTGGACTGCTTTGAGGCCTACTGTAGTAAAGGAAATAACTTCATCTAAAAACCAAACGGAAGCATTCACAGACAATTCTTAGTGATCATTGGATTGAACTAACAGAGCTGAACATTCCCTTAGATGGCGTAGTTTCCAAACACACTTTCTGTAGAATCTGCAAGTGGATATTTGGACCTCTCTGAGGATTTCTTTGGAAACGGGATAAACTTCCCAGAACTACACGGAAGCATTCTGAGAAACTTCTTTGTGATGGTTGCATTCAACACACAGAGTTGAACCTTGATTTCATAGTTCAGCTCTCAAACACTCTTTTTGTAGAATCTGCAAGTGGATATTTGGACCACTTTGTGGCCTTCCTTCGAAACGGGTATATCTTCACATCAAACCTAGACAGAAGCATTCTCAGAATGTTTCCTGTGATGACTGCATTCAACTCACAGAGGTGAACAATCCTGTTGATGGAGCACTTTTGAAACTCTCTTTCTTTGGATTCTGCAAGTTGATATGTGGACCTCTGTGAAGATTTCGTTGGAAACGGGTTCATCTTCAGAGAAAAACTAAACAGAAGCATTCTCAGAAACTACTTTGTGATGTTTGTGTTCCACTTCAAGAATTGAACTTTCCTCTTGACAGAGCAGCTCTGAAACCCTCTTTTTCTAGAATCTGCAAGTGGACATTTGGAGGGCTTTGAGGCCTGTGGTGGAAAAGGAAAATCTTCACATAAAAACTAGATGGAAGCATTCTCAGAAACTACTTTGTGATGATTGCATTCGACTCACAGAGTTGAACATTCCCATAGATAGAGCAGGTTGTAAACAATCTTTTTGTAGAATCTGCGATTGGAGATTTGGACTGCTTTGAGGCCTACTGTAGTAAAGGAAATAACTTCATCTAAAAACCAAACGGAAGCATTCACAGACAATTCTTAGTGATCATTGGATTGAACTAACAGAGCTGAACATTCCTTTAGATGGAGCATTTTCCAAACACACTTTCTGTAGAATCTGCAAGTGGATATTTGGACTTCTCTGAGGATTTCGTTGGAAACGGGATAAACTTCCCAGAACTACACGGAAGCATTCTGAGAAACTTCTTTGTGATGTTTGCATTCAACACACAGAGTTGAACCTTGCTTTCATAGTTCAGCTTTCAAACACTCTTTTTGTAGAATCTGCAAGTGGATATTTGGACCACTTTGTGGCCTTCCTTCGAAACGGGTATATCTTCACATCAAACCTAGACAGAAGCATTCTCAGAATGTTTCCTGTGATGACTGCATTCAACTCACAGAGGTGAACAATCCTGTTGATGGAGCAGTTTTGCAACTCTCTTTCTTTGGATTCTGCAAGTGGATATGTGGACCTCTGTGAAGATTTCGTTGGAAACGGGTTCATCTTCACAGAAAAACTAAACAGGAGCATTCTCAGAAACTGCTTTGTGATGTTTGTGTTCCACTTCAAGAATTGAACTTTGCTCTTGACAAAGCAGCTCTGAAACCCTCTTTTTCTAGAATCTGCAAGTGGACATTTGGAGGGCTTTGAGGACTGTGGTGGAAAAGGAAAATCTTCACATAAAAACTAGATGGAAGCATTCTCAGAAACTACTTTGTGATGATTGCATTCGACTCACAGAGTAGAACATTCCTATAGATAGAGCAGGTTGTAAACAATCTTTTTGTAGAATCTGCGATTGGAGATTTGGACTGCTTTGAGGCCTACTGTAGTAAAGGAAATAACTTCATCTAAAAACCAAACGGAAGCATTCACAGACAATACTTAGTGATCATTGGATTGAACTAACAGAGCTGAACATTCCTTTAGATGGCGCAGTTTCCAAACACACTTTCTGTAGAATCTGCAAGTGGATATTTGGACTTCTACTGAGGATTTCGTTGGAAACGGGATAAACTTCCCAGAACTACACGGAAGCATTCTGAGAAACTTCTTTGTGATGTTTGCATTCAACTCACAGAGTTGAACCTTGCTTTCATAGTTCAGCTTTCAAACACTCTTTTTGTAGAATCTGCAAGTGGATATTTGGACCAGTTTGTGGCCTTCCTTCGAAACGGGTATATCTTCACATCAAACCTAGACAGAAGCATTCTCAGAATGTTTCCTGTGATGACTGCATTCAACTCACAGAGGTGAACAATCCTGCTGATGGAGCAGTTTTGAAACTCTCTTTCTTTGGATTCTGCAAGTGGATATGTGGACCTGTGTGAAGATTTCGTTGGAAACGGGTTCATCTTCACAGAAAAACTAAACAGAAGCATTCTCAGAAACTGCTTTGTGATGTTTGTGTTCCACTTCAGGAATTGAACTTTCCTCTTGACAGAGCAGCTCTGAAACCCTCTTATTCTAGAATCTGCAAGTGGACATTTGGAGGGCTTTGAGGCCTGTGGTGGAAAAGGAAAATCTTCACATAAAAACTAGATGGAAGCATTCTCAGAAACTACTTTGTGATGATTGCATTCGACTCACAGAGTTGAACATTCCTATAGATAGAGCAGGTTGTAAACAATCTTTTTGTAGAATCTGCGATTGGAGATTTGGACTGCTTTGAGGCCTACTGTAGTAAAGGAAATAACTTCATCTAAAAACCAAACGGAAGCATTCACAGACAATTCTTAGTGATCATTGGATTGAACTAACAGAGCTGAACATTCCTTTAGATGGAGCAGTTTCCAAACCCACTTTCTGTAGAATCTGCAAGTGGATATTTGGACTTCTCTGAGGATTTCGTTGGAAACGGGATAAATTTCCCAGAACTACACGGAAGCATGCTGAGAAACTTCTTTGTGATGTTTGCATTCAACTCACAGAGTTGAACCTTGCTTTCATAGTTCAGCTTTCAAACACTCTTTTTGTAGAATCTGCAAGTGGATATTTGGACCACTTTGTGGCCTTCCTTCGAAACGGGTATATCTTCACATCAAACCTAGACAGAAGCATTCTCAGAATGTTTCCTGTGATGACTGCATTCAACTCACAGAGGTGAACAATCCTGTTGATGGAGCAGTTTTGAAACTCTCTCTCTTTGGATTCTGCAAGTGGATATGTGGACCTCTGTGAAGATTTCGTTTTAAACGGGTTCATCTTCACAGAAAAACTAAACAGGAGCATTCTCAGAAACTGCTTTGTGATGTTTGTGTTCCACTTCAGGAATTGAACTTTCCTCTTGACAGAGCAGCTCTGAAACCCTCTTATTCTAGAATCTGCAAGTGGACATTTGGAGGGCTTTGAGGCCTGTGGTGGAAAAGGAAAATCTTCACATAAAAACTAGATGGAAGCATTCTCAGAAACTACTTTGTGATGATTGCATTCGACTCACAGAGTTGAACATTCCTATAGATAGAGCAGGTTGTAAACAATCTTTTTGTAGAATCTGCGATTGGAGATTTGGACTCCTTTGAGGCCTACTGTAGTAAGGGAAATTACTTCATCTAAAAACCAAACGGAAGCATTCACAGACAATTCTTAGTGATCATTGCATTGAACTAACAGAGCTGAACATTCCTTTAGATGGCGCAGTTTCCAAACACACTTTCTGTAGAATCTGCAAGTGGATATTTGGACTTCTCTGAGGATTTCGTTGGAAACGGGATAAACTTCCCAGAACTACACGGAAGCATTCTGAGAAACTTCTTTGTGATGTTTGCATTCAACTCACAGAGTTGAACCTTGCTTTCATAGTTCAGCTTTCAAACACTCTTTTTGTAGAATCTGCAAGTGGATATTTGGACCACTTTCTGGCCTTCCTTCGAAACGGGTATATCTTCACATCAAACCTAGACAGAAGCATTCTCAGAATGTTTCCTGTGATGACTGCATTCAACTCACAGAGGTGAACAATCCTGTTGATGGAACCGTTTTCAAACTCCCTTTCTTTTGATTCTGCAAGTGGATATGTGGACCTCTGTGAAGATTTCGTTGGAAACGGGTTCATCTTCACAGAAAAACTAAACAGGAGCATTCTCAGAAACTGCTTTGTGATGTTTGTGTTCCACTTCAGGAATTGAACTTTCCTCTTGAGAGAGCAGCTCTGAAACCCTCTTTTTCTAGAATCTGCATGTGGACATTTGGAGGGATTTGAGGCCTGTGGTGGAAAAGGAAAATCTTCACATAAAAACTAGATGGAAGCATTCTCAGAAACTACTTTGTGATGATTGCATTCGACTCACAGAGTTGAACATTCCTATAGATAGAGCAGGTTGTAAACAATCTTTTTGTAGAATCTGCGATTGGAGATTTGGACTGCTTTGAGGCCTACTGTAGTAAAGGAAATAACTTCATCTAAAAACCAAACGGAAGCATTCACAGACAATCCTTAGTGATCATTGCATTGAACTAACAGAGCTGAACATTCCTTTAGATGGCGCAGTTTCCAAACACACTTTCTGTAGAATCTGCAAGTGGATATTTGGACCTCTCTGAGGATTTCGTTGGAAACGGGATAAACTTCCCAGAACTACACGGAAGCATTCTGAGAAACTTCTTTGTGATGTTTGCATTCAACTCACAGAGTTGAACCTTGCTTTCTTAGTTCAGCTTTCAAACACTCTTTTTGTAGAATCTGCAAGTGGATATTTGGACCACTTTGTGGCCTTCCTTCGAAACGGGTATATCTTCACATCAAACCTAGACAGAAGCATTCTCAGAATGTTTCCTGTGATGACTGCATTCAACTCACAGAGGTGAACAATCCTGTTGATGGAGCAGTTTTGAAACTCTCTTTCTTTGGATTCTGCAAGTTGATATGTGGACCTCTGTGAAGATTTCGTTGGAAACGGGTTCATCTTCACAGAAAAACTAAGCAGAAGCATTCTCAGAAACTGCTTTGTGATGTTTGTGTTCCACTTCAGGAATTGAACTTTCCTCTTGACAGAGCAGCTCTAAAACCCTCTTATTCTAGAATCTGCAAGTGGACATTTGGAGGGCTTTGAGGCCTGTGGTGGAAAAGGAAAATCTTCACATAAAAACTAGATGGAAGCATTCTCAGAAACTACTTTGTGATGATTGCATTCGACTCACAGAGTTGAACATTCCTATAGATAGAGCAGGTTGTAAACAATCATTTTGTAGAATCTGCGATTGGAGATTTGGACTGCTTTGAGGCCTACTGTAGTAAAGGAAATAACTTCATCTAAAAACCAAACGGAAGCATTCACAGACAATTCTTAGTGATCATTGCATTGATCTAACAGAGCTGAACATTCCTTTAGATGGCGTAGTTTCCAAACACACTTTCTGTAGAATCTGCAAGTGGATATTTGGACCTCTCTGAGGATTTCGTTGGAAACGGGATAAACTTCCCAGAACTACACGGAAGCATTCTCAGAAACTTCTTTGTGATGTTGCATTCAACTCACAGACTTGAACCTTGCTTTCATAGTTCAGCTTCCAAACACTCTTTTTGTAGAATCTGCAAGTGGATATTTGGACCACTTTGTGGCCTTCCTTCGAAACGGGAATATCTTCACATCAAACCTAGACAGAAGCATTCTCAGAATGTTTCCTGTGATGACTGCATTCAACTCACAGAGGTGAACAATCCTGCTGATGGAGCAGTTTTGAAACTCTCTTTCTTTGGATTCTGCAAGTGGATATGTGGACCTCTGTGAAGATTTCGTTGGAAACGGGTTCATCTTCACAGAAAAACTAAACAGAAGCATTCTCAGAAACTGCTTTGTGATGTTTCTGTTCCACTTCAGGAATTGAACTTTCCTCTTGACAGAGCAGCTCTGAAACCCTCTTATTCTAGAATCTGCAAGTGGACATTTGGAGGGCTTTGAGGCCTGTGGTGGAAAAGGAAAACCTTCACATAAAAACTAGATGGAAGCATTCTCAGAAACTACTTTGTGATGATTGCATTCGACTCACAGAGTTGAACATTTCTATAGATAGAGCAGGTTGTAAACAATCTTTTTGTAGAATCTGCGATTGCAGATTTGGACTGCTTTGAGGCCTACTGTAGTAAAGGAAATAACTTCATCTAAAAACCAAACGGAAGCATTCACAGACAATTCTTAGTGATCATTGGATTGAACTAACAGAGCTGAACTTCCTTTAGATGGCGCAGTTTCCAAACACACTTTCTGTAGAATCTGCAAGTGGATATTTGGACTTCTCTGAGGATTTCGTTGGAAACGGGATAAACTTCCCAGAAGTACACGGAAGCATTGTGAGAAACTTCTTTGTGATGTTTGCATTCAACTCACAGAGTTGAACCTTGCTTTCATAGTTCAGCTTTCAAACACTCTTTTTGTAGAATCTGCAAGTGGATATTTGGACCACTTTGTGGCCTTCCTTCGAAACGGGTATATCTTCACATCAAACCTAGACAGAAGCATTCTCAGAATGTTTCCTGTGATGACTGCATTCAACTCACAGAAGGTGAACAATCCTGCTGTTGGAGCAGTTTTGAAACTCTCTTTCTTTGGATTCTGCAAGTGGATATGTGGACCTCTGTGAAGATTTCGTTGGAAACGGGTACATCTTCACAGAAAAACTAAACAGGAGTATTCTAAGAAACTGCTTTGTGATGTTTGTGTTCCACTTCAAGAATTGAACTTTCCTCTTGACAGAGCAGCTCTGAAACCCTCTTTTTCTAGAATCTGCAAGTGGACATTTGGAGGGCTTTGAGGCCTGTGGTGGAAAAGGAAAATCTTCACATAAAAACTAGATGGAAGCATTCTCAGAAACTACTTTGTGATGATTGCATTCGACTCACAGAGTTGAACATTCCTATAGATAGAGCAGGTTGTAAACAATCTTTTTGTAGAATCTGCGATTGGAGATTTGGACTGCTTTGAGGCCTACTGTAGTAAAGGAAATAACTTCATCTAAAAACCAAACGGAAGCATTCACAGACAATTCTTAGTGATCATTGCATTGAACTAACAGAGCTGAACATTCCTTTAGATGGCGCAGTTTCCAAACACACTTTCTGTAGAATCTGCAAGTGGATATTTGGACCTCTCTGAGGATTTCGTTGGAAACGGGATAAACTTCCCAGAACTACACGGAAGCAGCATTGTGAGAAACTTCTTTGTGATGTTTGCATTCAACTCACAGAGTTGAACCTTGCTTTCATAGTTCAGCTTTCAAACACTCCTTTTGTAGAGTCTGCAAGTGGATATTTGGACCACTTTGTGGCCTTCCTTGGAAACGGGTATATCTTCACATCAAACCTAGACAGAAGCATTCTCAGAATGTTTCCTGTGATGACTGCATTCAACTCACAGAGGTGAACAATCCTGCTGATGGAGCAGTTTTGAAACTCTCTTTCTTTGGATTCTGCAAGTGGATATGTGGACCTCTGTGAAGATTTCGTTGGAAACGGGTTCATCTTCACAGAAAAACTAAACAGGAGCATTCTCAGAAACTGCTTTGTGATGTTTGTGTTCCACTTCAGGAATTGTATTTTCCTCTTGACAGAGCAGCTCTGAAACCCTCTTATTCTAGAATCTGCAAGTGGACATTTGGAGGGCTTTGAGGCCTGTGGTGGAAAAGGAAAATCTTCACATAAAAACTAGATGGAAGCATTCTCAGAAACTACTTTGTGATGATTGCATTCGACTCACAGAGTTGAACATTCCTATAGATAGAGCAGGTTGTAAACAATCTTTTTGTAGAATCTGCGATTCGAGATTTGGAATGCTTTGAGGCCTACTGCAGTAAAGGAAATAACTTCATCTAAAAACCAAACGGAAGCATTCACAGACAATTCTTAGTGATCATTGCATTGAACTAACAGAGCTGAACATTCCTTTAGATGGCGCAGTTTCCAAACACACTTTCTGTAGAATCTGCAAGTGGATATTTGGACCTCTGTGAGGATTTCGTTGGAAACGGGATAAACTTCCCAGAACTACAGGGAAGCATTCTGAGAAACTTCTTTGTGATGTTTGCATTCAACTCACAGAGTTGAACCTTGCTTTCATAGTTCAGCTTTCAAACACTCTTTTTGTAGAATCTGCAAGTGGATATTTGGACCACTTTGTGGCCTTCCTTCGAAACGGGTATATCTTCACATCAAACCTAGACAGAAGCATTCTCAGAATGTTTCCTGTGATGACTGCATTCAACTCACAGAGGTGAACAATCCTGCTGATGGAGCAGTTTTGAAACTCTCTTTCTTTGGATTCTGCAAGTGGATATGTGGACCTCTGTGAAGATTTCGTTGGAAACGGGTTCATCTTCACAGAAAAACTAAACAGAAGCATTCTCAGAAACTGCTTTGTGATGTTTGTGTTCCACTTCAGGAATTGAACTTTCCTCTTGACAGAGCAGCTCTGAAACCCTCTTTTTCTAGAATCTGCAAGTGGACATTTGGAGGGCTTTGAGGCCTGTGGTGGAAAAGGGAAATCTTCACATAAATACTAGATGGAAGCATTCTCAGAAACTACTTTGTGATGATGGCTTTCGACTCACAGAGTTGAACATTCCTATAGATAGAGCAGGTTGTAAACAATCTTTTTGTAGAATCTGCGATTGGAGATTTGGACTGCTTTGAGGCCTACTGTAGTAAAGGAAATAACTTCATCTAAAAACCAAACGGAAGGATTCACAGACAATTCTTAGTGATCATTGCATTGAACTAACAGAGCTGAACATTCCTTTAGATGGCGCAGTTTCCAAACACACTTTCTGTAGAATCTGCAAGTGGATATTTGGACCTCTCTGAGGATTTCGTTGGAAACGGGATAAACTTCCCAGAACTACACGGAAGCATTCTGAGAAACTTCTTTGTGATGTTTGCATTCAACTCACAGAGTTGAACCTTGCTTTCATAGTTCAGCTTTCAAACACTCTTTTTGTAGAATCTGCAAGTGGATATTTGGACCACTTTGTGGCCTTCCTTCGAAACGGGTATATCTTCACATCAAACCTAGACAGAAGCATTCTCAGAATGTTTCCTGTGATGACTGCATTCAACTCACAGAGGTGAACAATCCTGTTGATGGAGCAGTTTTGAAACTCTCTTTGTTTGGATTCTGCAAGTTGATATGTGGACCTCTGTGAAGATTTCGTTGGAAACGGGTTCATCTTCACAGAAAAACTAAACAGAAGCATTCTCAGAAACTGCTTTGTGATGTTTGTGTTCCACTTCAAGAATTGAACTTTCCTCTTGACAGAGCAGCTCTGAAACCCTCTTTTTCTAG
The DNA here is from genome assembly GCF_000001405.40 of Homo sapiens. NCBI lineage: Eukaryota > Metazoa > Chordata > Mammalia > Primates > Hominidae > Homo > Homo sapiens. The sequence goes on from NC_000011.10 coordinate 53,919,418, forward strand.
AATCTGCAAGTGGACATTTGGAGGGCTTTGAGGCCTGTGGTGGAAAAGGAAACTCTTCACATAAAAACTAGATGGAAGCATTCTCAGAAACTACTTTGTGATGATTGCATTCGACTCACAGAGTTGAACATTCCTATAGACAGAGCAGGTTGTAAACAATCTTTTTGTAGAATCTGCGATTGGAGATTTGGACTGCTTTGAGGCCTACTGTAGTAAAGAAAATAACTTCATCTAAAAACCAAACGGAAGCATTCACAGACAATTCTTAGTGATCATTGGATTGAACTAACAGAGCTGAACATTCCTTTAGATGGAGCAGTTTCCAAACCCACTTTCTGTAGAATCTGCAAGTGGATATTTGGACCTCTCTGAGGATTTCTTTGGAAACGGGATAAACTTCCCAGAACTACACGGAAGCATGCTGAGAAACTTCTTTGTGATGTTTGCATTCAACTCACAGAGTTGAACCTTGCTTTCATAGTTCAGCTTTCAAACACTCTTTTTGTTAAGAATCTGCAAGTGGATATTTGGACCACTTTGTGGCCTTCCTTCGAAACGGGTATATCTTCACATCAAACCTAGACGAGAAGCATTCTCAGAATGTTTCCTGTGATGACTGCATTCAACTCACAGAGGTGAACAATCCTGTTGATGGAGCAGTTTTGAAACTCTCTTTCTTTGGATTCTGCAAGTTGATATGTGGACCTCTGTGAAGATTTCGTTGGAAACGGGTTCATCTTCAAAGAAAAACTAAACAGAAGCATTCTCAGAAACTGCTTTGTGATGTTTGTGTTCCACTTAAAGAATTGAACTTTCCTCTTGACAGAGCAGCTCTGAAACCCTCTTTTTCTAGAATCTGCAAGTGGACATTTGGAGGGCTTTGAGGCCTGTGGTGGAAAAGGAAAATCTTCACATAAAAACTAGATGGAAGCATTCACAGAAACTTCTTTGTGATGATTGCATTCGACTCACAGAGTTGAACATTCCTATAGATAGAGCAGGTTGTAAACAATCTTTTTGTAGAATCTGCGATTGGAGATTTGGACTGCTTTGAGGCCTACTGTAGTAAAGGAAATTACTTCATCTAAAAACCAAACGGAAGCATTCACAGACAATCCTTAGTGATCATTGCATTGAACTAACAGAGCTGAACATTCCTTTAGATGGCGCAGTTTCCAAACACACTTTCTGTAGAATCTGCAAGTGGATATTTGGACCTCTCTGAGGATTTCGTTGGAAACGGGATAAACTTCCCAGAACTACACGGAAGCATTCTGAGAAACTTCTTTGTGATGTTTGCATTCAACTCACAGAGTTGAACCTTGCTTTCATAGTTCAGCTTTCAAACACTCTTTTTGTAGAATCTGCAAGTGGATATTTGGACCACTTTGTGGCCTTCCTTCGAAACGGGTATATCTTCACATCAAACCTAGACAGAAGCATTCTCAGAATGTTTCCTGTGATGACTGCATTCAACTCACAGAGGTGAACAATCCTGTTGATGAAGCACTTTTGAAACTCTCTTTCTTTGGATTCTGCAAGTTGATATGTGGACCTCTGTGAAGATTTCGTTGGAAACGGGTTCATCTTCACAGAAAAACTAAACAGAAGCATTCTCAGAAACTGCTTTGTGATGTTTGTGTTCCACTTCAAGAATTGAACTTTCCTCTTGACAGAGCAGCTCTGAAACCCTCTTTTTCTAGAATCTGCAAGTGGACATTTGGAGGGCTTTGAGGCCTGTGGTGGAAAAGGAAAATCTTCACATAAAAACTAGATGGAAGCATTCTCAGCAAACTACTTTGTGATGATTGCATTCGACTCACAGCAGTTGAACATTCCTATAGATAGAGCAGGTTGTAAACAATGTTTTTGTAGAATCTGCGATTGGAGATTTGGATTGCTTTGAGGCCTACTGTAGTAAAGGAAATAACTTCATCTAAAAACCAAACGGAAGCATTCACAGACAATTCTTAGTGATCATTGGATTGAACTAACAGAGCTGAACATTCCTTTAGATGGCGCAGTTTCCAAACACACTTTCTGTAGAATCTGCAAGTGGATATTTGGACTTCTCTGAGGATTTCGTTGGAAACGGGATAAACTTCCCAGAACTACACGGAAGCATTGTGAGAAACTTCTTTGTGATGTTTGCATTCAACTCACAGAGTTGAACCTTGCTTTCATAGTTCAGCTTTCAAACACTCTTTTTGTAGAATCTGCAAGTGGATATTTGGACCACTTTGTGGCCTTCCTTCGAAACGGGTATATCTTCACATCAAACCTAGACAGAAGCATTCTCAGAATGTTTCCTGTGATGACTGCATTCAACTCACAGAGGTGAACAATCCTGCTGATGGAGCAGTTTTGAAACTCTCTTTCTTTGGATTCTGCAAGTGGATATGTGGACCTCTGTGAAGATTTCGTTGGAAACGGGTTCATCTTCACAGAAAAACTAAACAGGAGCATTCTCAGAAACTGCTTTGTGATGTTTGTGTTCCACTTCAGGAATTGAACTTTCCTCTTGACAGAGCAGCTCTGAAATCCTCTTATTCTAGAATCTGCAAGTGGACATTTGGAGGGCTTTGAGGCCTGTGGTGGAAAAGGAAAATCTTCACATAAAAACTAGATGGAAGCATTCTCAGAAACTACTTTGTGATGATTGCATTCGACTCACAGAGTTGAACATTCCTATAGATAGAGCAGGTTGTAAACAATGTTTTTGTAGAATCTGCGATTGGAGATTTGGACTGCTTTGAGGCCTACTGTAGTAAAGGAAATAACTTCATCTAAAAACCAAACGGAAGCATTCACAGACAATTCTTAGTGATCATTGCATTGAACTAACAGAGCTGAACATTCCTTTAGATGGAGCAGTTTCCAAACACACTTTCTGTAGAATCTGCAAGTGGATATTTGGACTTCTCTGAGGATTTCGTTGGAAACGGGATAAACTTCCCAGAACTACACGGAAGCATTCTGAGAATCTTCTTTGTGATGTTTGCATTCAACTCACAGAGTTGAACCTTGCTTTCATAGTTCAGCTTTGAAACACTCTTTTTGTAGAATCTGCAAGTGGATATTTGGACCACTTTGTGGCCTTCCTTCGAAACGGGTATATCTTCACATCAAACCTAGACAGAAGCATTCTCAGAATGTTTCCTGTGATGACTGCATTCAACTCACAGAGGTGAACAATCCTGCTGATGGAGCAGTTTTGAAACTCTCTTTCTTTGGATTCTGCAAGTGGATATGTGGACCTACTGTGAAGATTTCGTTGGAAACGGGTTCATCTTCACAGAAAAACTAAACAGGAGCATTCTCAGAAACTGCTTTGTGATGTTTGTGTTCCACTTCAAGAATTGAACTTTCCTCTTGACAGAGCAGCTCTGAAACCCTCTTTTTCTAGAATCTGCAAGTGGACATTTGGAGGGCTTTGAGGCCTGTGGTGGAAAAGGAAAATCTTCACATAAAAACTAGATGGAAGCATTCTCAGAAAATACTTTGTGATGATTGCATTCGACTCACAGAGTTGAACATTCCTATAGATAGAGCAGGTTGTAAACAATGTTTTTGTAGAATCTGCGATTGGAGATTTGGACTGCTTTGAGGCCTACTGTAGTAAAGGAAATAACTTCATCTAAAAACCAAACGGAAGCATTCACAGACAATTCTTAGTGATCATTGGATTGAACTAACAGAGCTGAACATTCCGTTAGATGGAGAAGTTTCCAAACACACTTTCCGCAGAATCTGCAAGTGGATATTTGGACTTCTCTGAGGATTTCGTTGGAAACGGGATAAACTTCCCAGAACTACACGGAAGCATTCTGAGAAATTTCTTTGTGATGTTTGCATTCAACTCACAGAGTTGAACCTTGCTTTCATAGTTCAGCTTTCAAACACTCTTTTTGTAGAATCTGCAAGAGGATATTTGGACCACTTTGTGGCCTTCCTTCGAAACGGGTATATCTTCACATCAAACCTAGACAGAAGCATTCTCAGAATGTTTCCTGTGATGACTGCATTCAACTCACAGTGGTGAACAATCCTGTTGATGGAGCCGTTTTGAAACTCCCTTTATTTTGATTCTTCAAGTGGATATGTGGAACTCTGTGAAGATTTCGTTGGAAACGGGTTCATCTTCACAGAAAAACTAAACAGGAGCATTCTCAGAAACTGCTTTGTGATGTTTGTGTTCCACTTCAGGAATTGAACTTTCCTCTTGACAGAGCAGCTCTGAAACCCTCTTTTTCTAGAATCTGCAAGTGGACATTTGGAGGGCTTTGAGGCCTGTGGTTGAAAAGGATAATCTTCACATAAAAACTAGATGGAAGCATTCTCAGAAACTACTTTGTGATGATTGCATTCGACTCACAGAGTTGAACATTCCTATAGATAGAGCAGGTTGTAAACAATCTTTTTGTAGAATCTGCGATTCGAGATTTGGAATGCTTTGAGGCCTACTGCAGTAAAGGAAATAACTTCATCTAAAAACCAAACGGAAGCATTCACAGACAATTCTTAGTGATCATTGGATTGAACTAACAGAGCTGAACATTCCTTTAGATGGAGCTGTTTCCAAACACACTTTCTGTAGAATCTGCAAGTGGATATTTGGACTTCTCTGAGGATTTCGTTGGAAACGGGATAAACTTCCCAGAACTACACGGAAGCATTGTGAGAAACTTCTTTGTGATGTTTGCATTCAACTCACAGAGTTGAACCTTGCTTTCATAGTTCAGCTTTCAAACACTCTTTTTGTAGAATCTGCAAGTGGATATTTGGACCACTTTGTGGCCTTCCTTTGAAAAGGGTATATCTTCACATCAAACCTAGACAGAAGCATTCTCAGAATGTTTCCTGTGATGACTGCATTCAACTCACAGAGGTGAACAATCCTGCTGATGGAGCAGTTTTGAAACTCTCTTTCTTTGGATTGTGCAAGTGGATATGTGGATCTCTGTGTAGATTTCGTTGGAAACGGGTTCATCTTCACAGAAAAACTAAACAGGAGCATTCTCAGAAACTACTTTGTGATGTTTGTGTTCCACTTCAAGAATTGAACTTTCCTCTTGACAGAGCAGCTCTGAAACCCTCTTTTTCTAGAATCTGCAAGTGGACATTTGGAGGGCTTTGAGGCCTGTGGTGGAAAAGGAAAATCTTCACATAAAAACTAGATGGAAGCATTCTCAGAAACTACTTTGTGATGATTGCATTCGACTCACAGAGTTGAACATTCCTATACATAGAGCAGGTTGTAAACAATCTTTTTGTAGAATCTGCGATTGGAGATTTGGACTGCTTTGAGGCCTACTGTAGTAAAGGAAATAACTTCATCTAAAAACCAAACGGAAGCATTCACAGACAATTCTTAGTGATCATTGGATTGAACTAACAGAGCTGAACATTCCTTTAGATGGAGCAGTTTCCAAACACACTTTCTGTAGAATCTGCAAGTGGATATTTGGACTTCTCTGAGGATTTCGTTGGAAACGGGATAAACTTCCCAGAACTACACGGAAGCATTGTGAGAAACTTCTTTGTGATGTTTGCATTCAACTCACAGAGTTGAACCTTGCTTTCATAGTTCAGCTTTCAAACACTCTTTTTGTAGAATCTGCAAGTGGATATTTGGACCACTTTGTGGCCTTCCTTTGAAAAGGGTATATCTTCACATCAAACCTAGACAGAAGCATTCTCAGAATGTTTCCTGTGATGACTGCATTCAACTCACAGAGGTGAACAATCCTGTTGATGGAGCAGTTTTGAAACTCTCTTTCTTTGGATTCTGCAAGTTGATATGTGGACCTCTGTGAAGATTTCGTTGGAAACGGGTTCATCTTCACAGAAAAACTAAACAGAAGCATTCTCAGAAACTGCTTTGTGATGTTTGTGTTCCACTTCAGGAATTGAACTTTCCTCTTGACAGAGCAGCTCTGAAACCCTCTTATTCTAGAATCTGCAAGTGGACATTTGGAGGGCTTTGAGGCCTGTGGTGGAAAAGGAAAATCTTCACATAAAAACTAGATGGAAGCATTCTCAGAAACTACTTTGTGATGATTGCATTCGACTCACAGAGTTGAACATTCCTATAGATAGAGCAGGTTGTAAACAATCTTTTTGTAGAATCTGCGATTGGAGATTTGGACTGCTTTGAGGCCTACTGTAGTAAAGGAAATAACTTCATCTAAAAACCAAACGGAAGCATTCACAGACAATTCTTAGTGATCATTGCATTGAACTAAGAGAGCTGAACATTCCTTTAGATGGCGCAGTTTCCAAACACACTTTCTGTAGAATCTGCAAGTGGATATTTGGACCTCTCTGAGGATTTCGTTGGAAACGGGATAAACTTCCCAGAACTACACGGAAGCATTGTGAGAAACTTCTTTGTGATGTTTGCATTCAACTCACAGAGTTGAACCTTGCTTTCATAGTTCAGCTTTCAAACACTCTTTTTGTAGAATCTGCAAGTGGATATTTGGACCACTTTGTGGCCTTCCTTCGAAACGGGTATATCTTCACATCAAACCTAGACAGAAGCATTCTCAGAATGTTTCCTGTGATGACTGCATTCAACTCACAGAGGTGAACAATCCTGCTGATGGAGCAGTTTTGAAACTCTCTTTCTTTGGATTCTGCAAGTGGATATGTGGACCTCTGTGAAGATTTCGTTGGAAACGGGTTCATCTTCACAGAAAAACTAAACAGAAGCATTCTCAGAAACTGCTTTGTGATGTTTGTGTTCCACTTCAGGAATTGAACTTTCCTCTTGACAGAGCAGCTCTAAAACCCTCTTATTCTAGAATCTGCAAGTGGACATTTGGAGGGCTTTGAGGCCTGTGGTGGAAAAGGAAAATCTTCACATAAAAACTAGATGGAAGCATTCTCAGAAACTACTTTGGGATGATTGCATTCGACTCACAGAGTTGAACATTCCTATAGATAGAGCAGGTTGTAAACAATCTTTTTGTACAATCTGCGATTGGAGATTTGGACTGCTTTGAGGCCTACTGTAGTAAAGGAAATAACTTCATCTAAAAACCAAACGGAAGCATTCACAGACAATTCTTAGTGATCATTGGATTGAACTAACAGAGTTGAACATTGCTTTTGATGGAGCAGTTTCCAAACACACTTTCTGTAGAATCTGCAAGTGGATATTTGGACCTCTCTGAGGATTTCGTTGGAAACGGGATAAACTTCCCAGAACTACACGGAAGCATTGTGAGAAACTTCTTTGTGATGTTTGCATTCAACTCACAGAGTTGAAACTTGCTTTCATAGTTCAGCTTTCAAACACTCTTTTTGTAGAATCTGCAAGTGGATATTTGGACCACTTTGTGGCCTTCCTTTGAAACGGGTATATCTTCACATCAAACCTAGACAGAAGCATTCTCAGAATGTTTCCTGTGATGACTGCATTCAACTCACAGAGGTGAACAATCCTGCTGATGGAGCAGTTTTGAAACTCTCTTTCTTTGGATTCTGCAAGTGGATATGTGGACCTCTGTGAAGATTTCGTTGGAAACGGGTTCATCTTCACAGAAAAACTAAACAGAAGCATTCTCAGAAACTGCTTTGTGATGTTTGTGTTCCACTTCAGGAATTGAACTTTCCTCTTGACAGAGCAGCTCTAAAACCCTCTTATTCTAGAATCTGCAAGTGGACATTTGGAGGGCTTTGAGGCCTGTGGTGGAAAAGGAAAATCTTCACATAAAAACTAGATGGAAGCATTCTCAGTAAACTACTTTGTGATGATTGCATTCGACTCACAGAGTTCAACATTCCTATAGATAGAGCAGGTTGTAAACAATCTTTTTGTAGAATCTGCGATTGGAGATTTAGACTGCTTTGAGGCCTACTGTAGTAAATTAAATAACTTCATCTAAAAACCAAACGGAAGCATTCACAGACAATTCTTAGTGATCATTGCATTGATCTAACAGAGCTGAACATTCCTTTAGATGGCGTGGTTTCCAAACACACTTTCTGTAGAATCTGCAAGTGGATATTTGGACCTCTCTGAGGATTTCGTTGGAAACGGGATAAACTTCCCAGAACTACACGGAAGCATTGTGAGAAACTTCTTTGTGATGTTTGCATTCAACTCACAGAGTTGAACCTTGCTTTCATAGTTCAGCTTTCAAACACTCTTTTTGTAGAATCTGCAAGTGGATATTTGGACCACTTTGTGGCCTTCCTTCGAAACGGGTATATCTTCACATCAAACCTAGACAGAAGCATTCTCAGAATGTTTCCTGTGATGACTGCATTCAACTCACAGAGGTGAACAATCCTGCTGATGGAGCAGTTTTGAATCTCTCTTTCTTTGGATTCTGCAAGTGGATATGTGGACCTCTGTGAAGATTTCGTTGGAAACGGGTTCATCTTCACAGAAAAACTAAACAGAAGCATTCTCAGAAACTGCTTTGTGATGTTTGTGTTCCACTTCAGGAATTGAACTTTCCTCTTGACAGAGCAGCTCTGAAACCCTCTTTTTCTAGAATCTGCAAGTGGACATTTGGAGGGCTTTGAGGCCTGTGGTGGAAAAGGAAAATCTTCACATAAAAACTAGATGGAAGCATTCTCAGAAACTACTTTGTGATGATTGCATTCGACTCACAGAGTTGAACATTCCTATAGATAGAGCAGGTTGTAAACAATCTTTTTGTAGAATCTGCGATTGGAGATTTGGACTGCTTTGAGGCCTACTGTAGTAAAGGAAATAACTTCATCTAAAAACCAAACGGAAGCATTCACAGACAATTCTTAGTGATCATTGGATTGAACTAACAGAGCTGAACATTCCTTTAGATGGAGCATTTTCCAAACGCACTTTCTGTAGAATCTGCAAGTGGATATTTGGACCACTTTGTGGCCTTCCTTCGAAACGGGTATATCTTCACATCAAACCTAGACAGAAGCATTGTGAGAAACTTCTTTGTGATGTTTGCATTCAACTCACAGAGTTGAACCTTGCTTTCATAGTTCAGCTTTCAAACACTCTTTTTGTAGAATCTGCAACTGGATATTTGGACCACTTTGTGGCCTTCCTTCGAAACGGGTATATCTTCACATCAAACCTAGACAGAAGCATTCTCAGAATGTTTCCTGTGATGACTGCATTCAACTCACAGAGGTGAACAATCCTGCTGATGGAGCAGTTTTGAAACTCTCTTTCTTTGGATTCTGCAAGTGGATATGTGGACCTCTGTGAAGATTTCGTTGGAAACGGGTTCATCTTCACAGAAAAACTAAGCAGAAGCATTCTCAGAAACTGCTTTGTTATGTTTGTGTTCCACTTCAAGAATAGAACTTTCCTCTTGACAGAGCAGCTCTGAAACCCTCTTATTCTAGAATCTGCAAGTGGACATTTGGAGGGCTTTGAGGCCTGTGGTGGAAAAGGAAAATCTTCACATAAAAACTAGATGGAAGCATTCTCAGAACCTACTTTGTGATGATTGCATTCGACTCACAGAGTTGAACATTCCTATAGATAGAGCAGGTTGTAAACAATCTTTTTGTAGAATCTGCGATTGGAAATTTGGACTGCTTTGAGGCCTACTGTAGTAAAGGAAATAACTTCATCTAAAAACCAAACGGAAGCATTCACAGACAATTCTTAGTCATCATTGGATTGAACTAACAGAGCTGAATATTCCCTTAGATGGCGCAGTTTGCAAACACACTTTCTGTAGAATCTGCAAGTGGATATTTGGACTTCTCTGAGGATTTCGTTGGAAACGGGATAAACTTCCCAGAACTACACGGAAGCATTCTGAGAAACTTCTTTGTGATGTTTGCATTCAACTCACAGAGTTGAACCTTGCTTTCATAGTTCAGCTTTCAAACACTCTTTTTGTAGAATCTGCAAGTGGATATTTGGACCACTTTGTGGCCTTCCTTCGAAACGGGTATATCTTCACATCAAACCTATTCAGAAGCATTCTCAGAATGTTTCCTGTGATGACTGCATTCAACTCACTGAGGTGAACAATCCTGCTGATGGAGCAGTTTTGAAACTCTCTTTCTTTGGATTCTGCAAGTGGATATGTGGACCTCTGTGAAGATTTCGTTGGAAACGGGTTCATCTTCACAGAAAAACTAAACAGGAGCATTCTCAGAAACTGCTTTGTGATGTTTGTCTTCCACTTCAAGAATTGAGCTTTCCTCTTGACAGAGCAGCTCTGAAACCCTCTTTTTCTAGAATCTGCAAGTGGACATTTGGAGGGCTTTGAGGCCTGTGGTGGAAAAGGAAAATCTTCACATAAAAAGTAGATGGAAGCATTCTCAGAAACTACTTTGTGATCATTGCATTCGACTCACAGATTTGAACATTCCTATAGATAGAGCAGGTTGTAAACAATCTTTTTGTAGAATCTGCGATTGGAGATTTGGACTGCTTTGAGGCCTACTGTAGTAAAGGAAATAACTTCATCTAAAAACCAAACGGAAGCATTCACAGACAATTCTTAGTGATCATTGGATTGAACTAACAGAGCTGAACATTCCTTTAGATGGCGCAGTTTCCAAACAAACTTTCTGTAGAATCTGCAAGTGGATATTTGGACCTCTCTGAGGATTTCGTTGGGAACGGGATAAACTTCCCAGAACTACACGGCAAGCATTCTGAGAAACTTCTTTGTGATGTTTGCATTCAACTCACAGAGTTGAACCTTGCTTTCATAGTTCAGCTTTCAAACACTCTTTTTGTAGAATCTGCAAGTGGATATTTGGACCACTTTGTGGCCTTCCTTCGAAACGGGTATATCTTCACATCAACCCTAGACAGAAGCATTCTCAGAATGTTTCCTGTGATGTCTGCATTCAACTCACAGAGGTGAACAATCCTGCTGATGGAGCAGTTTTCAAACTCTCTTTCTTTGGATTCTGCAAGTGGATATGTGGACCTCTGTGAAGATTTCGTTGGAAACGGGTTCATCTTCACAGAAAAACTAAACAGGAGCATTCTCAGAAACTGCTTTGTGATGTTTGTGTTCCACTTCAGGAATTGAACTTTCCTCTTGACATAGCAGCTCTGAAACCCTCTTTTTCTAGAATCTGCAAGTGGACATTTGGAGGGCTTTGAGGCCTGTGGTGGAAAAGGAAAATCTTCACATAAAAACTAGATGGAAGCATTCTCAGAAACTACTTTGGGATGATTGCATTCGACTCACAGAGTTGAACATTCCTATAGATAGAGCAGGTTGTAAACAATCTTTTTGTAGAATCTGCGATTGGAGATTTGGACTGCTTTGAGGCCTACTGTAGTAAATTAAATAACTTCATCTAAAAACCAAACGGAAGCATTCACAGACAATTCTTAGTGATCATTGGATTGAACTAACAGAGCTGAACATTCCTTTAGATGGAGCAGTTTCCAAACACACTTTCTGTAGAATCTGCAAGTGGATATTTGGACTTCTCTGAGGATTTCGTTGGAAACGGGATAAACTTCCCAGAACTACACGGAAGCATTGTGAGAAACTTCTTTGTGATGTTTGCATTCAGCTCACAGAGTTGAACCTTGCTTTCATAGTTCAGCTTTCAAACACTCTTTTTGTGGAATCTGCAAGTGGATATTTGGACCACTTTGTGGCCTTCCTTCGAAACGGGTATATCTTCACATCAAACCTAGACAGAAGCATTCTCAGAATGTTTCCTGTGATGACTGCATTCAACTCACAGAGGTGAACAATCCTGCTGATGGAGCAGTTTTGAAACTCTCTTTCTTTGGATTCTGCAAGTGGATATGTGGACCTCTGTGAAGATTTCGTTGGAAACGGGTTCATCTTCACAGAAAAACTAAACAGAAGCATTCTCAGAACTGCTTTGTGATGTTTGTGTTCCACTTCAGGAATTGAACTTTCCTCTTGACAGAGCAGCTCTGAAACCCTCTTATTCTAGAATCTGCAAGTGGACATTTGGAGGGCTTTGAGGCCTGTGGTGGAAAAGGAAAATCTTCACATAAAAACTAGATGGAAGCATTCTCAGAAACTACTTTGTGATGATTGCATTCGACTCACAGAGTTGAACATTCCTATAGATAGAGCAGGTTGTAAACAATCTTTTTGTAGAATCTGCGATTGGAGATTTGGACTGCTTTGAGGCCTACTGTAGTAAAGGAAATAACTTCATCTGAAAACCAAACGGAAGCATTCACAGACAATTCTTCGTGATCATTGGATTGAACTAACAGAGCTGAACGTTCCCTTAGATGGCGCAGTTTCCAAACACACTTTCTGTAGCATCTGCAAGTGGATATTTGGACCTTTCTGAGGATATCGTTGGAAACGGGCTAAACTTCCCAGAACTACACGGAAGCATTCTGAGAAACTTCTTTGTGATGTTTGCATTCAACTCACAGAGTTGAACCTTGCTTTCATAGTTCAGCTTTCAAACACTCTTTTTGTAGAATCTGCAAGTGGATATTTGGACCACTTTGTGGCCTTCCTTCGAAACGGGTATATCTTCACATCAAACCTAGACAGAAGCATTCTCAGAATGTTTCCTGTGATGACTGCATTCAACTCACAGAGGTGAACAATCCTGCTGATGGAGCAGTTTTGAAACTCTCTTTCTTTGGATTCTGCAAGTGGATATGTGGACCTCTGTGAAGATTTCGTTGGAAACGGGTTCATCTTCACAGAAAAACTAAACAGAAGCATTCTCAGAAACTGCTTTGTGATGTTTGTGTTCCACTTCAGGAATTGAACTTTCCTCTTGACAGAGCAGCTCTGAAACCCTCTTTTTCTAGAATCTGCAAGTGGACATTTGGAGGGCTTTGAGGCCTGTGGTGGAAAAGGAAAATCTTCACATAAAAAATAGATGGAAGCATTCTCAGAAACTACTTTGTGATGATTGCATTCGACTCACAGAGTTGAACATTCCTATAGATAGAGCAGGTTGTAAACAATATTTTTGTAGAATCTGCGATTGGAGATTTGGACTGCTTTGAGGCCTACTGTAGTAAAGGAAGTAACTTCATCTAAAAACCAAACGGAAGCATTCACAGACAATTCTTAGTGATCATTGCATTGAACTAACAGAGCTGAACATTCCTTTAGATGGCGCAGTTTCCAAACACACTTTCTGTAGAATCTGCAAGTGGATATTTGGACCTCTCTGGGGATTTCGTTGAAAACGGGATAAACTTCCCAGAACTACACGGAAGCATTCTGAGAAACTTCTTTGTGATGTTTGCATTCAACTCACAGAGTTGAACCTTGCTTTCATAGTTCAGCTTTCAAACACTCTTTTTGTAGAATCTGCAAGTGGATATTTGGACCACTTTCTGGCCTTCCTTCGAAACGGGTATATCTTCACATCAAACCTAGACAGAAGCATTCTCAGAATGTTTCCTGTGATGACTGCATTCAACTCACAGAGGTGAACCATCCTGCTGATGGAGCAGTTTTGAAACTCTCTTTCTTTGGATTCTGCAAGTGGATATGTGGACCTCTGTGAAGATTTCGTTGGAAACGGGTTCATCTTCACAGAAAAACTAAACAGGAGCATTCTCAGAAACTGCTTTGTGATGTTTGTGTTCCACTTCAGGAATTGAACTTTCCTCTTGACAGAGCAGCTCTGAAACCCTCTTTTTCTAGAATCTGCAAGTGGTCATTTGGAGGGCTTTGAGGCCTGTGGTGGAAAAGGAAAATCTTCACATAAAAATTAGATGGAAGCATTCTCAGAAACTACTTTGTGATGATTGCATTCGACTCACAGAGTTGAACATTCCTATAGATAGAGCAGGTTGTAAACAATCTTTTTGTAGAATCTGCGATTGGAGATTTGGACTGCTTTGAGGCCTACTGTAGTAAAGGAAATAACTTCATCTAAAAACCAAACGGAAGCATTCACAGACAATTCTTAGTGATCATTGGATTGAACTAACAGAGCTGAACATTCCTTTAGATGGAGCATTTTCCAAACGCACTTTCTGTAGAATCTGCAAGTGGATATTTGGACTTCTCTGAGGATTTCGTTGGAAACGGGATAAACTTCCCAGAACTACACGGAAGCATTGTGAGAAACTTCTTTGTGATGTTTGCATTCAACTCACAGAGTTGAACCTTGCTTTCATAGTTCAGCTTTCAAACACTCTTTTTGTAGAATCTGCAAGTGGATATTTGGACCACTTTGTGGCCTTCCTTCGAAACGGGTATATCTTCACATCAAACCTAGACAGAAGCATTCTCAGAATGTTTCCTGTGATGACTGCGTTCAACTCACAGAGGTGAACAATCCTGCTGATGGAGCAGTTTTGAAACTCTCTTTCTTTGGATTCTGCAAGTTGATATGTGGACCTCTGTGAAGATTTCGTTGGAAACGGGTTCATCTTCACAGAAAAACTAAACAGGAACATTCTCAGATACTGCTTTGTGATGTTTGTGTTCCACTTCAGGAACTGAACTTTCCTCTTGATAGAGCAGCTCTGAAACCCTCTTTTTCTAGAATTTGCAAGTGGACATTTGGAGGGCTTTGAGGCCTGTGGTGGAAAAGGAAAATCTTCACATAAAAACTAGATGGAAGCATTCTCAGAAACTACTATGTGATGATTGCATTCGACTCACAGAGTTGAACATTCCTATAGATAGAGCAGGTTGTAAACAATCTTTTTGTAGAATCTGCGATTGGAGATTTGGACTGCTTTGAGGCCTACTGTAGTAAAGGAAATAACTTCATCTAAAAACCAAACGGAAGCATTCACAGACAATTCTTAGTGATCATTGCATTGAACTAACAGAGCTGAACATTCCTTTAGATGGCGCAGTTTCCAAACACACTTTCTTGTCAGAATCTGCAATTGGATATTTGGACCTCTCTGAGGATTTCGTTGGAAACGGGATAAACTTCCCAGAACTACACGGAAGCATGCTGAGAAACTTCTTTGTGATGTTTGCATTCAACTCACAGAGTTGAACCTTGCTTTCATAGTTCAGCTTTCAAACACTCTTTTTGTAGAATCTGCAAGTGGATATTTGGACCACTTTGTGGCCTTCCTTCGAAACGGGTATATCTTCACATCAAACCTAGACAGAAGCATTCTCAGAATGTTTCCTGTGATGACTGCATTCAACTCACAGAGGTGAACAATCCTGTTGATGGAGCAGTTTTGAAACTCTCTTTCTTTGGATTCTGCAAGTTGATATGTGGACCTCTGTGAAGATTTCGTTGGAAACGGGTTCATCTTCACAGAAAAACTAAACAGAAGCATTCTCAGAAACTGCTTTGTGATGTTTGTGTTCCACTTCAAGAATTGAACTTTCCTCTTGACAGAGCAGCTCTGAAACCCTCTTTTTCTAGAATGTGCAAGTGGACATTTGGAGGGCTTTGAGGCCTGTGGTGGAAAAGGAAAATCTTCACATAAAAACTAGATGGAAGCATTCTCAGAAACTACTTTGTGATGATTGCATTCGACTCACAGAGTTGAACATTCCTATACATAGAGCAGGTTGTAAACAATCTTTTTGTAGAATCTGCGATTGGAGATTTGGACTGCTTTGAGGCCTACTGTAGTAAAGGAAATAACTTCATCTAAAAACCAAACGGAAGCATTCACAGACAATTCTTAGTGATCATTGGATTGAACTAACAGAGCTGAACATTCCTTTAGATGGAGCAGTTTCCAAACACACTTTCTGTAGAATCTGCAAGTGGATATTTGGACCTCTCTGAGGATTTCGTTGGAAACGGGATAAACTTCCCAGAACTACACGGAAGCATTGTGAGAAACTTCTTTGTGATGTTTGCATTCAACTCACAGAGTTGAACCTTGCTTTCATAGTTCAGCTTTCAAACACTCTTTTTGTAGAATCTGCAAGTGGATATTTGGACCACTTTGTGGCCTTCCTTCGAAACGGGTATATCTTCACATCAAACCTAGACAGAAGCATTCTCAGAATGTTTCCTGTGATGACTGCATTCAACGCACAGAGGTGAACAATCCTGTTGATGGAGCAGTTTTGAACCTCTCTTTCTTTGGAATCTGCAAGTGGATATGTGGACCTCTTTGACGATTTCCTTGGAAACGGGTTCATGTTCAAAGAAAAACTAAACAGAAGCATTCTCAGAAACTGCTTTGTGATGTTTGTATTCCACTTCAAGAATTGAACTTTCCTCTTGACAGAACAGCTCTGAAACCCTCTTTTTCTAGAATCTGCAAGTGGACATTTGGAGGACTTTGAGGCCTGTGGTGGAAAAGGAAATATCTTCACATAAAACCTAGATAGAAGCATTCTCAGAAACTACTTTGTGATGATTGCATTCGACTCACAGAGTTGAACATTCCTATAGATAGAGCAGGTTGTAAACAATCATTTGTAGAATCTGCGATTGGAGATTTGGACTGCTTTGAGGCCTACAGTAGTAAAGGAAATAACTTCATCTAAAAACCAAGTGGAAGCATTCACAGACAATTCTTAGTGATCATTGGATTGAACTAACAGAGCTGAACATTCCTTTAGATGGAGCAGTTTCCAAACACACTTTCTGTAGAATCTGCAAGTGGATATTTGGACCTCTCTGAGGATTTCGTTGGAAACGGGATAAACTTCCCAGAACTACACGGAAGCATTCTCAGAAACTTCTTTGTGACGTTTGCATTCAACTCACAGAGTTGAATCTTGCTTTCATATTTCAGCTTTCAAACACTCTTTTTGTAGAATCTGCAAGTGGATATTTGGACCACTTTGTGGCCTTCCTTCGAAACGGGTATATCTTCACATCAAACCTAGACAGAAGCATTCTCAGAATGTTTCCTGTGATGACTGCATTCAACTCACAGAGGTGAACAATCCTGTTGGTGGAGCAGTTTTGAAACTCTCCTTCTTTGGATTCTGCAAGTGGATATGTGGACGTCTGTGAAGATTTCTTTGGACACGGGTTCATCTTCAAAGAAAAACTAAACAGAAGCATTCTCAGAAACTGCTTTGTGATGTTTGTGTTCCACTTAAAGAATTGAACTTTCCTCTTGACAGAGCAGCTCTGAAACACTCTTTTTCTAGAATCTGCAAGTGGACATTTGGAGGGCTTTGAGGCCTGTGGTGGAAAAGGAAAATCTTCACATAAAAACTTTATGGAAGCATTCTCAGAAACTACTTTGTGATGATGGCTTTCGACTCACAGAGTTGAACATTCCTATAGATAGAGCAGGTTGTAAACAATCTTTTTGTAGAATCTGCGATTGGAGATTTGGACTGCTTTGAGGCCTACTGTAGTAAAGGAAATAACTTCATCTAAAAACCAAACGGAAGCATTCACAGACAATCCTTAGGATCATTGCATTGAACTAACAGAGCTGAACATTCCTTTAGATGGCGCAGTTTCCAAACACACTTTCTGTAGAATCTGCAAGTGGATATTTGGACCTCTCTGAGGATTTCGTTGGAAACGGGATAAACTTCCCAGAACTACACGGAAGCATTGTGAGAAACTTCTTTGTGATGTTTGCATTCAACTCACAGAGTTGAACCTTGCTTTCATAGTTCAGCTTTCAAACACTGTTTTTGTAGAATCTGCAAGTGGATATTTGGACCACTTTGTGGCCTTCCTTCGAAACGGGTATATCTTCACATCAAACCTAGACAGAAGCATTCTCAGAATGTTTCCTGTGATGACTGCATTCAACTCACAGAGGTGAACAATCCTGTTGATGGAGCAGTTTTGAAACTCTCTTTCTTTGGATTCTGCAAGTGGATATGTGGACCTCTGTGAAGATTTCGTTGGAAACGGGTTCATCTTCACAGAAAAACTAAACAGAAGCATTCTCAGAAACTGCTTTGTGATGTTTGTGTTCCACTTCAAGAATTGAACTTTCCTCTTGACAGAGCAGCTCTGAAACCCTCTTTTTCTAGAATCTGCAAGTGGACATTTGGAGGGCTTTGAGGCCTGTGGTGGAAAAGGAAAATCTTCACATAAAAACTAGATGGAAGCATTCTCAGAAACTACTTTGTGATGATTGCATTCGACTCACAGAGTTGAACATTCCTATAGATAGAGCAGGTTGTAAACAATCTTTTTGTAGAATCTGCGATTGGAGATTTGGACTGCTTTGAGGCCTACTGTAGTAAAGGAAATAACTTCATCTAAAAACCAAACGGAAGCATTCACAGACAATTCTTAGTGATCATGGCATTGAACTAACAGAGCTGAACATTCCTTTAGATGGCGCAGTTTCCAAACACACTTTCTGTAGAATCTGCAAGTGGATATTTGGACCTCTCTGAGGATTTCGTTGGAAACGGGATAAACTTCCCAGAACTACACGGAAGCATTCTGAGAAACTTCTTTGTGATGTTTGCATTCAACTCACAGAGTTGAAACTTGCTTTCATAGTTCAGCTTTCAAACATTCTTTTTGTAGAATCTGCAAGTGGATATTTGGACCACTTTGTGGCCTTCCTTCGAAACGGGTATATCTTCACATCAAACCTAGACAGAAGCATTCTCAGAATGTTTCCTGTGATGACTGCATTCAACTCACCGAGGTGAACAATCCTGCTGATGGAGCAGTTTTGAAACTCTCTTTCTTTCGATTCTGCAAGTGGATATGTGGACCTCCGTGAAGATTTCGTTTTAAACGGGTTCATCTTCACAGAAAAACAAAACAGAAGCATTCTCAGAAACTGCTTTGTGATGTTTGTGTTCCACTTCAAGAATTGAACTTTCCTCTTGACAGAGCAGCTCTGAAACCCTCTTTTTCTAGAATCTGCAAGTGGACATTTGGAGGGCTTTGAGGCCTGTGGTGGAAAAGGAAAATCTTCCCATAAAAACTAGATGGAAGCATTCTCAGAAACTACTTTGTGATGATTGCATTCGACTCACAGAGTTGAACATTGGTATAGATAGAGCAGGTTGAAAACAATCTGTTTGTAGAATCTGCGATTGGAGATTTGGACTGCTTTGAGGCCTACTGTAGTAAAGGAAATAACTTCATCTAAAAACCAAACGGAAGCATTCACAGACAATTCTTAGTGATCATTGGATTGAACTAACTGAGCTGAACATTCCTTTAGATGGCGCAGTTTCCAAACACACTTTCTGTAGAATCTGCAAGTGGATATTTGGACCTCTCTGAGGAATTCGTTGGAAACGGGATAAACTTCCCAGAACTACACGGAAAGCATTGTGAGAAACTTCTTTGTGATGTTTGCATTCAACTCACAGTGTTGAACCTTGCTTTCATAGTTCAGCTTTCAAACACTCTTTCTGTAGAATCTGCAAGTGGATATTTGGACCACTTTGTGGCCTTCCTTCGAAACGGGTATATCTTCACATCAAACCTAGACAGAAGCATTCTCAGAATGTTTCCTGTGATGACTGCATTCAACTCACAGAGGTGAACAATCCTGCTGATGGAGCAGTTTTGAAACTCTCTTTCTTTGGATTCTGCAAGTGGATATGTGGACCTCTGTGAAGATTTCGTTGGAAACGGGTTCATCTTCACAGAAAAACTAAACAGAATCATTATCAGAAACTGCTTTGTGATGTTTGTGTTCCACTTCAGGAATTGAACTTTCCTCTTGACAGAGCAGCTCTGAAAACCTCTTATTCTAGAATCTGCAAGTGGACATTTGGAGGGCTTTGAGGCCTGTGGTGGAAAAGGAAAATCTTCACATAAAAACTAGATGGAAGCATTCTCAGAAACTACTTTGTGATGATTGCATTCGACTCACAGAGTTGAACATTCCTATAGATAGAGCAGGTTGAAAACAATCTTTTTGTAGAATCTGCGATTGGAGATTTGGACTGCTTTGAGGCCTACTGTAGTAAAGGAAATAACTTCATCCAAAAACCAAACGGAAGCATTCACAGACAATTATTAGTGATTATTGCATTGAACTAACAGAGCTGAACATTCCTTTAGATGGCGCAGTTTCCAAACACACTTTCTGTAGAATCTGCAAGTGGATATTTGGACTTCTCTGAGGATTTCGTTGGAAACGGGATAAACTTCCCAGAACTACACGGAAGCATTCTGAGAAACTTCTTTGTGATGTTTGCATTCAACTCACAGAGTTGAACCTTGCTTTCACAGTTCAGCTTTCAAACACTCTTTTTGTAGAATCTGCAAGTGGATATTTGGACCACTTTGTGGCCTTCCTTCGAAACGGGTATATCTTCACATCAAACCTAGACAGAAGCATTCTCAGAATGTTTCCTGTGATGACTGCATTCAACTCACAGAGGTGAACAATCCTGCTGATGGAGCAGTTTTGAAACTGTCTTTCTTTGGATTTTGCAAGTGGATATGTGGACCTCTGTGAAGATTTCGTTGGAAACGGGTTCATCTTCACAGAAAAACTAAACAGAAGCATTCTCAGAAACTGCTTTGTGATATTTGTGTTCCACTTCAGGAATTGAACTTTCCTCTTGAAAGAGCAGCTCTGAAACCCTCTTTTTCCAGAATCTGCAAGTGGACATTTGGAGGGCTTTGAGGCCTGTGGTGGAAAAGGAAAATCTTCACATAAAAACTAGATGGAAGCATTCTCAGAAACTACTTTGTGATGATTGCATTCGACTCACAGAGTTGAACATTCCTATACATAGAGCAGGTTGTAAACAATCTTTTTGTAGAATCTGCGATTGGAGATTTGGACTGCTTTGAGGCCTACTGTAGTAAAGGAAATAACTTCATCTAAAAACCAAACGGAAGCATTCACAGACAATTCTTAGTGATCATTGCATTGAATTAACAGAGCTGAACATTCCTTTAGATGGAGCAGTTTCCAAACACACTTTCTGTAGAATCTGCAAGTGGATATTTGGACTTCTCTGAGGATTTCGTTGGAAACGGGATAAACTTCCCAGAACTACAGGGAAGCATTCTGAGAAACTTCTTTGTGATGTTTGCATTCAACTCACAGAGTTGAACCTTGCTTTCATAGTTCAGCTTTCAAACACTCTTTTTGTAGAATCTGCAAGTGGATATTTGGACCACTTTGTGGCCTTCCTTCGAAACGGGTATATCTTCACATCAAACCTAGACAGAAAGCATTCTCAGAATGTTTCCTGTGATGACTGCATTCAACTCACAGCAGGTGAACAATCCTGCTGATGGAGCTGTTTTGAAACTCTCTTTCTTTGGATTCTGCAAGTGGATATGTGGACCTCTGTGAAGATTTCGTTGGAAACGGGTTCATCTTCACAGAAAAACTAAACAGAAGCATTCTCAGAAACTGCTTTGTGATGTTTGTGTTCCACTTCA
Source organism: Homo sapiens (assembly GCF_000001405.40). NCBI lineage: Eukaryota > Metazoa > Chordata > Mammalia > Primates > Hominidae > Homo > Homo sapiens. The sequence goes on from NC_000011.10 coordinate 53,940,631, forward strand.
AGAATTGAACTTTCCTCTTGACAGAGCAGCTCTGAAACCCTCTTATTCTAGAATCTGCAAGTGGACATTTGGAGGGCTTTGAGGCCTGTGGTGGAAAAGGAAAATCTTCACATAAAAACTAGATGGAAGCATTCTCAGAAACTACTTTGTGATGATTGCATTCGACTCACAGAGTTGAACACTCCTATAGATAGAGCAGGTTGTAAACAATCTTTTTGTAGAATCTGCGATTGGAGATTTGGACTGCTTTGAGGCCTACTGTAGTAAAGGAAATAACTTCATCTAAAAACCAAACGGAAGCATTCAAAGACAATTCTTAGTGATCATTGGATTGAACTAACAGAGCTGAACATTCCTTTAGATGGCGCAGTTTCCAAACACACTTTCTGTAGAATCTGCAAGTGGATATTTGGACCTCTCTGAGGATTTCGTTGGAAACGGGATAAACTTCCTAGAACTACACGGCAGCATTCTGAGAACCTTCTTTGTGATGTTTGCATTCAACACACAGAGTTGAACCTTGCTTTCATAGTTCAGCTTTCAAACACTCTTTTTGTAGAATCTGCAAGTGGATATTTGGACCACTTTGTGGCCTTCCTTCGAAACGGGTATATCTTCACATCAAACCTAGAGAGAAGCATTCTCAGAATGTTTCCTGTGATGACTGCATTCAACTCACAGAGGTGAACAATCCTGCTGATGGAGCAGTTTTGAAACTCTCTTTCTTTGGATTCTGCAAGTGGATATGTGGACCTCTGTGAAGATTTCGTTGGAAACGGGTTCATCTTCACAGAAAAACTAAACAGAAGCATTCTCAGAAACTGCTTTGTGATGTTTGTGTTCCACTTCAAGAATTGAACTTTCCTCTTGACAGAGCAGCTCTGAAACCCTCTTTTTCTAGAGTCTGCAAGTGGACATTTGGAGGGCTTTGAGGCCTGTGGTGGAAAAGGAAAATCTTCACATAAAAACTAGATGGAAGCATTCTCAGAAACTACTTTGTGATGATTGCATTCGACTCACAGAGTTGAACATTCCTATAGATAGAGCAGGTTGTAAACAATCTTTTTGTAGAATCTGCGATTGGAGATTTGGACTGCTTTGAGGCCTACTGTAGTAAAGGAAATAACTTCATCTAAAAACCAAACGGAAGCATTCACAGACAATTCTTAGTGATCATTGCATTGAACTAACAGAGCTGAACATTCCTTTAGATGGAGCAGTTTCCAAACACACTTTCTGTAGAATGTGCAAGTGGATATTTGGACTTCTCTGAGGATTTCGTTGGAAACGGGATAAACTTCCCAGAACTACACGGAAGCATTGTGAGAAACTTCTTTGTGATGTTTGCATTCAACTCACAGAGTTGAACCTTGCTTTCATAGTTCAGCTTTCAAACACTCTTTTTGTAGAATCTGCAAGTGGATATTTGGACCACTTTGTGGCCTTCCTTCGAAACGGGTATATCTTCACATCAAACCTAGACAGAAGCATTCTCGGAATGTTTCCTGTGATGACTGCAATCAACTCACAGAAGTGAACAATCCTGCTGATGGAGCAGTTTTGAAACTCTCATTCTTTGGATTCTGCAAGTGGATATGTGGACCTCTGTGAAGATTTCGTTGGAAACGGGTTCATCTTCACAGAAAAACTAAACAGAAGCATTCTCAGAAACTACTTTGTGATGTTTGTGTTCCACTTCTAGAATTGAAATTTCCTCTTGACAGAGCAGCTCTGAAACCCTCTTTTTCTAGAATCTGCAAGTGGACATTTGGAGGGCTTTGAGGCCTGTGGTGGAAAAGGAAAATCTTCACATAAAAACTAGATGGAAGCATTCTCAGAAACTACTTTGTGATGATTGCATTCGACTCACAGAGTTGAACATTCCTATAGATAGAGCAGGTTGTAAACAATCTTTTTGTAGAATCTGCGATTGGAGATTTGGACTGCTTTGAGGCCTACTGTAGTAAAGGAAATAACTTCATCTAAACACCAAACGGAAGCATTCAAAGACAATTCTTAGTGATCACTGGATTGAACTAACAGAGCTGAACATTCCTTTAGATGGCGCAGTTTCCAAAAGACTTTCTGTAGAATCTGCAAGTGGATATTTGGACTTCTCTGAGGATTTCGTTGGAAACGGGATAAACTTCCGAGAACTACACGGAAGCATTCTGAGAAACTTCTTTGTGATGTTTGCATTCAACTCACAGAGTTGAACCTTGCTTTCATAGTTCAGCTTTCAAACACTCTTTTTGTAGAATCTGCAAGTGGATATTTGGACCACTTTGTGGCCTTCCTTCGAAACGGGTATATCTTCACATCAAACCTAGACAGAAGCATTCTCAGAATGTTTCCTGTGATGACTGCATTCAACTCACAGAGGTGAACAATCCTGTTGATGGAGCACTTTTGAAACTCTCTTTCTTTGGATTCTGCAAGTTGATATGTGGACCTACTGTGAAGATTTCGTTGGAAACGGGTTCATCTTCACAGAAAAACTAAACAGAAGCATTCTCAGAAACTGCTTTGTGATGTTTGTGTTCCACTTCAGGAATTGAACTTTCCTCTTGACAGAGCAGCTCTGAAACCCTCTTTTTCTAGAATCTGCAAGTGGACATTTGGAGGGCTTTGAGGCCTGTGGTGGAAAAGGAAAATCTTCACATAAAAACTAGACGGAAGCATTCTCAGAAACTACTTTGTGATGATTGCATTCGACTCACAGAGTTGAACATTTCCTATAGATAGAGCAGGTTGTAAACAATCTTTTTGTAGAATCTGCGATTGGAGATTTGGACTGCTTTGAGGCCTACTGTAGTAAAGGAAATAACTTCATCTAAAAACCAAACGGAAGCATTCACAGACAATTCTTAGTGATCATTGCATTGAACTAACAGAGCTGAACATTCCTTTAGATGGAGCAGTTTCCAAACCCACTTTCTGTAGAATCTGCAAGTGGATATTTGGACTTCTCTGAGGATTTCGTTGGAAACGGGATAAACTTCCCAGAACTACACGGAAGCATTCTGAGAAACTTCTTTGTGATGTTTGCATTCAACTCACAGAGTTGAACCTTGCTTTCATAGTTCAGCTTTCAAACCCTCTTTTTGTAGAATCTGCAAGTGGATATTTGGACCACTTTGTGGCCTTCCTTCGAAACGGGTATATCTTCACATCAAACCTAGACAGAAGCATTCTCCGAATGTTTCCTGTGATGACTGCATTCAACTCACAGAGGTGAACAATCCTGCTGTTGGAGCAGTTTTGAAACTCTCTTTCTTTGGATTCTGCAAGTGGATATGTGGACCTCTGTGAAGATTTCGTTGGAAACGGGTTCATCTTCACAGAAAAACTAAACAGGAGCATTCTCAGAAACTGCTTTGTGATGTTTGTGTTCCACTTCAAGAATTGAACTTTCCTCTTGACAGAGCAGCTCTGAAACCCTCTTTTTCTAGAATCTGCAAGTGGACATTTCGAGGGCTTTGAGGCCTGTGGTGGAAAAGGAAAATCTTCACATAAAAACTAGATGGAAGCATTCTCAGAAACTACTTTGTGATGATTGCATTCGACTCACAGAGTTGAACATTCCTATAGATAGAGCAGGTTGTAAACAATCTTTTGGTAGAATCTGCGATTGGAGATTTGGATTGCTTTGAGGCCTACTGTAGTAAAGGAAATAACTTCATCTAAAAACCAAACGGAAGCATTCACAGACAATTCTTAGTGATCATTGGATTGAACTAACAGAGCTGAACATTCCTTTAGATGGCGCAGTTTCCAAACACACTTTCTGTAGAATCTGCAAGTGGATATTTGGACCTCTCTGAGGATTTCTTTGGAAACGGGATAAACTTCCCAAACTACACGGAAGCATTGTGAGAATCTTCTTTGTGATGTTTGCATTCAACTCACAGAGTTGAACCTTGCTTTCATAGTTCAGCTTTCAAACACTCTTTTTTAGGATCTGCAAGTGGATATTTGGACCACTTTGTGGCCTTCCTTCGAAACGGGCATATCTTCACATCAAACCTAGACAGAAGCATTCTCAGAATGTTTCCTGTGATGACTCCATTCAACTCACAGAGGTGAACAATCCTGCTGATGGAGCAGTTTTGAAACTCTCTTTCTTTGGATTCTGCAAGTGGATATGTGGACCTCTGTGAAGATTTCGTTGGAAACGGGTTCATCTTCACAGAAAAACTAAACAGAAGCATTCTCAGAAACTGCTTTGTGATGTTTGTGTTCCACTTCAGGAATTGAACTTTCCTCTTGACAGAGCAGCTCTGAAACCCTCTTATTCTAGAATCTGCAAGTGGACATTTGGAGGGCTTTGAGGCCTGTGGTGGAAAAGGAAAATCTTCACATAAAAACTAGATGGAAGCATTCTCAGAAACTACTTTGTGATGATTGCATTCGACTCACAGAGTTGAACATTCCTATAGATAGAGCAGGTTGTAAACAAAGTTTTTGTAGAATCTGCGATTGGAGATTTGGACTGCTTTGAGGCCTACTGTAGTAAAGGAAATAACTTCATCTAAAAACCAAACGGAAGCATACACAGAAAATTCTTTGTGATGATTGGATTGAACTAAGAGAGCTGAACATTCCTTTAGATGGCGCAGTTTGCAAACACACTTTCTGTAGAATCTGCAAGTGGATATTTGGACCTCTCTGAGGATTTCTTTGGAAAAGGGATAAACTTCCCAGAACTACACGGAAGCATTCTCAGAAACTTCTTTGTGATGTGTGCATTCATCCCACAGAGTTGAACCTTGCTTTCATAGTTCAGCTTTCAAACACTCTTTTTGTAGAATCTGCAAGTGGATATTTGGACCACTTTGTGGCCTTCCTTCGAAACGGGTATATCTTCACATCAAACCTAGACAGAAGCATTCTCAGAATGTTTTCCTGTGATGACTGCATTCAACTCACAGAGGTGAACAATCCTGTTGATGGAGCAGTTTTGAAACTCTCTTTCTTTGGATTCTGCAGGTGGATATGTGGACCTCTGTGAAGATTTCGTTGGAAACGGGTTCATCTTCACAGAAAAACTAAACAGGAGCATTCTCAGAAACTGCTTTGTGATGTTTGTGTTCCACTTCAAGAATTGAACTTTCCTCTTGACAGAGCAGCTCTGAAACCCTCTTTTTCTAGAATCTGCAAGTGGACATTTGGAGGGCTTTGAGGCCTGTGGTGGAAAAGGAAAATCTTCACATAAAAACTAGATGGAAGCATTCTCAGAAACTACTTTGTGATGATTGCATTCGACTCACAGAGTTGAACATTCCTATAGATAGAGCAGGTTGTAAACAATCTTTTTGTAGAATCTGCGATTCGAGATTTGGAATGCTTTGAGGCCTACTGCAGTAAAGGAAATAACTTCATCTAAAAACCAAACGGAAGCATTCACAGACAATTCTTAGTGATCATTGGATTGAACTAACAGAGCTGAACATTCCTTTAGATGGAGCAGTTTCCAAACACACTTTCTGTAGAATCTGCAAGTGGATATTTGGACTTCTCTGAGGATTTCGTTGGAAACGGGATAAACTTCCCAGAACTACACGGAAGCATTGTGAGAAACTTCTTTGTGATGTTTGCATTCAACTCACAGAGTTGAACCTTGCTTTCATAGTTCAGCTTTCAAACACTCTTTTTGTAGAATCTGCAAGTGGATATTTGGACCACTTTGTGGCATTCCTTTGAAACGGGTATATCTTCACATCAAACCTAGACAGAAGCATTCTCAGAATGTTTCCTGTGATGACTGCATTCAACTCACAGAGGTGAACAATCCTGTTGATGGAGCAGTTTTGAAACTCTCTTTCTTTGGATTCTGCAAGTTGATATGTGGACCTCTGTGAAGATGTCGTTGGAAACGGGTTCATCTTCACAGAAAATCTAAACAGAAGCATTCTCAGAAACTGCTTTGTGATGTTTGTGTTCCACTTCAGGAATTGAACTTTCCTCTTGACAGAGCAGCTCTGAAACCCTCTTTTTCTAGAATCTGCAAGTGGACATTTGGAGGGCTTTGAGGCCTGTAGTGGAAAAGGAAAATCTTCACATAAAAACTAGATGGAAGCATTCTCAGAAACTACTTTGTGATGATTGCATTCGACTCACAGAGTTGAACATTCCTATAGATAGAGCAGGTTGTAAACAATCTTTTTGTAGAATCTGCGATTGGAGATTTGGACTGCTTTCAGGCCTACTGTAGTAAAGGAAATAACTTCATCTAAAAACCAAACGGAAGCATTCACAGACAATTCTTAGTGATCATTGGATGGAACTAACAGAGCTGAACATTCCTTTAGATGGAGCAGTTTCCAAACCCACTTTCTGTAGAATCTGCAAGTGGATATTTGGACTTCTCTGAGGATATCGTTGGAAACGGGATATGCTTCCCAGAACTACAGGGAAGCATTGTGAGAAACTTCTTTGTGATGTTTGCATTCAACTCACAGAGTTGAACCTTGCTTTCATAGTTCAGCTTTCAAACACTCTTTTTGTAGAATCTGCAAGTGGATATTTGGACCACTTTGTGGCCTTCCTTTGAAAAGGGTATATCTTCACATCAAACCTAGACAGAAGCATTCTCAGAATGTTTCCTGTGATGACTGCATTCAACTCACAGAGGTGAACAATCCTGTTGATGGAGCACTTTTGAAACTCTCTTTCTTTGGATTCTGCAATTTGATATGTGGACCTCTGTGAAGATTTCGTTGGAAACGGGTTCATCTTCACAGAAAAACTAAACAGAAGCATTCTCAGAAACTGCTTTGTGATGTTTGTGTTCCACTTCAGGAATTGAACTTTCCTCTTGACAGAGCAGCTCTGCAACACTCTTATTCTAGAATCTGCAAGTGGACATTTGGAGGGCTTTGAGGCCTGTGGTGGAAAAGGAAAATCTTCACATAAAAACTAGATGGAAGCATTCTCAGAAACTACTTTGTGATGATTGCATTCGACTCACAGAGTTGAACATTCCTATAGATAGAGCAGGTTGTAAACAATCTTTTTGTAGAATCTGCGATTGGAGATTTGGACTGCTTTGAGGCCTACTGTAGTAAAGGAAATAACTTCATCTAAAAACCAAACGGAAGCATTCACAGACAATTCTTAGTGATCATTGGATTGAACTAACAGAGCTGAACATTCCTTTAGATGGAGCAGTTTCCAAACACACTTTCTGTAGAATCTGCAAGTGGATATTTGGACCTCTCTGTGGATTTCGTTGGAAAAGGGATAAACTTCCCAGAACTACACGGAAGCATTGTGAGAAACTTCTTTGTGATGTTTGCATTCAACTCACAGAGTTGAACCTTGCTTTCATAGTTCAGCTTTCAAACACTCTTTTTGTAGAATCTGCAAGTGGATATTTGGACCACTTTGTGGCCTTCCTTTGAAACGGGTATATCTTCACATCAAACCTAGACAGAAGCATTATCAGAATGTTTCCTGTGATGACTGCATTCAACTCACAGAGGTGAACAATCCCGTTGATGGAGCACTTTTGAAACTCTCTTTCTTTGGATTCTGCAAGTTGATATGTGGACCTCCTGTGAAGATTTCGTTGGAAACCGGTTCATCTTCACAGAAAAACTAAACAGAAGCATTCTCAGAAACTGCTTTGTGATGTTTGTGTTCCACTTCAAGAATTGAACTTTCCTCTTGACAGAGCAGCTCTGAAACCCTCTTTTTCTAGAATCTGCAAGTGGACATTTGGAGGGCTTTGAGGCCTGTGGTGGAAAAGGAAAATCTTCCCATAAAAACTAGATGGAAGCATTCTCAGAAACTACTTTGTGATGATTGCATTCGACTCACAGAGTTGAACATTACTATAGATAGAGCAGGTTGTAAACAATGTTTTTGTAGAATCTGCGATTGGAGATTTGGACTGCTTTGAGGCCTACTGTAGTAAAGGAAATAACTTCATCTAAAAACCAAACGGAAGCATTCACAGACAATTCTTAGTGATCATTGGATTGAACTAACAGAGCTGAACATTCCTTTAGATGGAGCAGTTTCCAAACCAACTTTCTGTAGAATCTGCAAGTGGATATTTGGACCTCTCTGAGGATTTCGTTGGAAACGGGATAAACTTCCCAGAACTACACGGAAGCATGCTGAGAAACTTATTTGTGATGTTTGCATTCAACTCACAGAGTTGAACCTTGCTTTCATAGTTCAGCTTTCAAACACTCTTTTTGTAGAATCTGCAAGTGGATATTTGGACAACTTTGTGGCCTTCCTTCGAAACGGGTATATCTCCACATCAAACCTAGACAGAAGCATTCTCAGAATGTTTCCTGTGATGACTGCATTCAACTCACAGAGGTGAACAATCCTGCTGATGGAGCAGTTTTGAAACTCTCTTTCTTTGGATTCTGCAAGTGGATATGTGGACCTCTGTGAAGATTTCGTTGGAAACGGGTTCATCTTCACAGAAAAACTAAACAGAAGCATTCTCAGAAACTGCTTTGTGATGTTTGTGTTCCACTTCAAGAATTGAACTTTCCTCTTGACAGAGCAGCTCTGAAACCCTCTTTTTCTAGAATCTGCAGGTGGACATTTGGAGGGCTTTGAGGCCTGTGGTGGAAAAGGAAATATCTTCACATAAAACCTAGATAGAAGCATTCTCAGAAACTACTTTGTGATGATTGCATTCGACTCACAGAGTTGAACATTCCTATAGATAGAGCAGGTTGTAAACAATCTTTTTGTAGAATCTGCGATTGGAGATTTGGACTGCTTTGAGGCCTACTGTAGTAAAGGAAATAACTTCATCTAAAAACCAAACGGAAGCATTCACAGACAATTCTTAGTGATCATTGGATTGAACTAACAGAGCTGAACATTCCTTTAGATGGAGCATTTTCCAAACACACTTTCTGTAGAATCTGCAAGTGGATATTTGGACCTCTCTGAGGATTTCGTTGGAAACGGGATAAACTTCCCAAAACTACACGGAAGCATTCTGAGAAACTTCTTTGTGATGTTTGCATTCAACTCACAGAGTTGAACCTTGCTTTCATAGTTCAGCTTTCAAACACTCTTTTTGTAGAATCTGCAAGTGGATATTTCGACCACTTTGTGGCCTTCCTTCGAAACGGGTATATCTTCACATGAAACCTAGACAGAAGCATTCTCAGAATGTTTCCTGTGATGACTGCATTCAACTCACAGAGGTGAACAATCCTGCTGATGGAGCAGTTTTGAAACTCTCTTTCTTTGGATTCTGCAAGTGGATATGTGGACCTCTGTGAAGATTTCGTTGGAAACGGGTTCATCTTCACAAAAAAACTAAACAGGAGCATTCTCAGAAACTGCTTTGTGATGTTTGTGTTCCACTTCAAGAATTGAACTTTCCTCTTGATAGAGGAGCTCTGAAACCCTCTTTTTCTAGAATCTGCAAGTGGACATTTGGAGGGCTTTGAGGCCTGTGGTGGAAAAGGAAAATCTTCACATAAAAACTGGATGGAAGCATTCTCAGAAACTACTTTGTGATGATTGCATTCGACTCACAGAGTTGAACATTCCTATAGATAGAGCAGGTTGTAAACAATCTTTTTGTAGAATCTGCGATTGGAGATTTGGACTGCTTTGAGGCCTACTGTAGTAAAGGAAATAACTTCATCTAAAAACCAAACGGAAGCATTCACAGACAATTCTTAGTGATCATTGCATTGAACTAACAGAGCTGAAGATTCTTTTAGATGGAGCAGTTTCCAAACCCACTTTCTGTAGAATCTGCAAGTGGATATTTGGACTTCTCTGAGGATTTCGTTGGAAACGGGATAAACTTCCCAGAACTACACGGAAGCATTCTGAGAAACTTCTTTGTGATGTTTGCATTCAACTCACAGAGTTGAACCTTGCTTTCATAGTTCAGCTTTCAAACACTCTTTTTGTAGAATCTGCAAGTGGATATTTGGACCACTTTGTGGCCTTCCTTCGAAACGGGTATATCTTCACATCAAACCTAGACAGAAGCATTCTCAGAATGTTTCCTGTGATGACTGCATTCAATTCACAGAGGTGAACAATCCTGTTGATGGAGCACTTTTGAAACTCTCTTTCTTTGGATTCTGCAAGTTGATATGTGGACCTCTGTGAAGATTTCGTTGGAAACGGGTTCATCTTCACAGAAAAACTAAACAGAAGCATTCTCAGAAACTGCTTTGTGATGATTGTGTTCCACTTTAGGAATTGAACTTTCCTCTTGACAGAGCAGCTCTGAAACCCTCTTTTTCTAGAATCTGCAAGTGGACCTTTGGAGGGCTTTGAGGCCTGTGGTGGAAAAGGAAAATCTTCACATAAAAACTAGATGGAAGCATTCTCAGAAACTACTTTGTGATGATTGCATTCGACTCACAGAGTTGAACATTCCTATAGATAGAGCAGGTTGTAAACAATCTTTTTGTAGAATCTGCGATTGGAGATTTGGACTGCTTTGAGGCCTACTGTAGTAAAGGAAATAACTTCATCTAAAAACCAAACGGAAGCATTCACAGACAATTCTTAGTGATCATTGCATTGAACTAACAGAGCTGAACATTCCTTTAGATGGCGCAGTTTCCAAACACACTTTCTTTAGAATCTGCAAGTGGATATTTGGACCTCTCTGAGGATTTCGTTGGAAACGGGATAAACTTCCCAGAACTACACGGGAAGCATGCTGAGAAACTTCTTTGTGATGTTTGCATTCAACTCACAGAGTTGAACCTTGCTTTCATAGTTCAGCTTTCAAACACTCTTTTTGTAGAATCTGCAAGTGGATGTTTGGACCACTTTGTGGCCTTCCTTCGAAACGGGTATATCTTCACATCAAACCTAGACAGAAGCATTCTCAGCAATGTTTCCTGTGATGACTGCATTCAACTCACAGAGGTGAACAATCCTGCTGATGGAGCAGTTTTGAAACTCTCTTTCTTTGGATTCTGCAAGTGGATATGTGGACCTCTGTGAAGATTTCGTTGGAAACGGGTTCATCTTCACAGAAAAACTAAACAGAAGCATTCTCAGAAACTGCTTTGTGATGTTTGTGTTCCACTTCAAGAATTGAGCTTTCCTCTTGACAGAGCAGCTCTGAAACCCTCTTTTTGTAGAATCTGCAAGTGGACATTTGGAGGGCTTTGAGGCCTGTGGTGGAAAAGGAAAATCTTCACATAAAAACTAGATGGAAGCGTTCTCAGAAACTACTTTGTGATGATTGCATTCGACTCACAGAGTTAACATTCCTATAGATAGAGCAGGTTGTAAACAATCTTTTTGTAGAATCTGCGATTGGAGATTTGGACTGCTTTGAGGCCTACTGTAGTAAAGGAAATAACTTCATCTAAAAACCAAACGGAAGCATTCACAGACAATTCTTAGTGATCATTGGATTGAACTAACAGAGCTGAACATTCCTTTAGATGGAGCAGTTTCCAAACAAACTTTCTGTAGAATCTGCAAGTGGATATTTGGACTTCTCTGAGGATTTCGTTGGAAACGGGATAAACTTCCCAGAACTACACGGAAGCATTGTGAGAAACTTCTTTGTGATGTTTTCATTCAACTCACAGAGTTGAACCTTGCTTTCATAGTTCAGCTTTCAAACACTCTTTTTGTAGAATCTGCAAGTGGATATTTGGACCACTTTGTGGCCTTCCTTCGAAACGGGTATATCTTCACATCAAACCTAGACAGAAGCATTCTAAGAATGTTTCCTGTGATGACTGCATTCAACTCACAGAGGTGAACAATCCTGTTGATGGAGCAGTTTTGAAACTCTCTTTCTTTGGATTCTGCAAGTGGATATGTGGACCTCTGTGAAGATTTCGTTGGAAACGGGTTTATCTTCACAGAAAAACTAAACAGAAGCATTCTCAGAAACTGCTTTGTGATGTTTGTGTTCCACTTCAGGAATTGAACTTTCCTCTTGACAGAGCAGCTCTGAAACCCTCTTTTTCTAGAATCTGCAAGTGGACATTTGGAGGGCTTTGAGGCCTGTGGTGGAAAAGGAAAATCTTCACATAAAAACTAGATGGAAGCATTCTCAGAAACTACTTTGTGATGATTGCATTCGACTCACAGAGTTGAACATTCCTATACATAGAGCAGGTTGTAAACAATCTTTTTGTAGAATCTGCGATTGGAGATTTGGACTGCTTTGAGGCCTACTGTAGTAAAGGAAATAACTTCATCTAAAAACCAAACGGAAGCATTCACAGACAATTCTTAGTGATCATTGGATTGAACTAACAGAGCTGAACATTCCTTCAGATGGCGCAGTTTCCAAACACATCTGTTCTGTAGAATCCTGCAAGTGGATATTTGGACTCTCTCTGAGGATTTCGTTGGAAACGGGATAAACTTCCCAGAACTACACGGAAGCATTGTGAGAAACTTCTTTCTGATGTTTGCATTCAACTCACAGAGTTGAACCTTGCTTTCATAGTTCAGCTTTCAAACACTCTTTTTGTAGAATCTGCAAGTGGATATTTGGACCACTTTGTGGCCTTCCCTCGAAACGGGTATATCTTCACATCAAACCTAGACAGAAGCATTCGCAGAATGTTTCCTGTGATGACTGCATTCAACTCACAGAGGTGAACAATCCTGCTGATGGAGCAGTTTTGAAACTCCCTTTCTTTGGATTCTGCAAGTGGATATGTGGACCTCTGTGAAGATTTCGTTGGAAACGGGTTCATCTTCACAGAAAAACTAAACAGGAGCATTCCCAGAAACTGCTTTGTGATGTTTGTGTTCCACTTCAGGAATTGAACTTTCCTCTTGACAGAGCAGCTCTGAAACCCTCTTTTTCTAGAATCTGCAAGTGGACATTTGGAGGGCTTTGAGGCCTGTGGTGGAAAAGGAAAATCTTCACATAAAAACTAGATGGAAGCATTCTCAGAAACTACTTTGTGATGATTGCATTCGACTCACATAGTTGAACATTCCTATAGATAGAGCAGGTTGTAAACAATCTTTTTGTAGAATCTGCGATTGGAGATTTGGACTGCTTTGAGGCCTACTGTAGTAAAGGAAATAACTTCATCTAAAAACCAAACGGAAGCATTCACAGACAATTCTTAGTGATCATTGCATTGAACTAACAGAGCTGAACATTCCTTTAGATGGCGCAGTTTCCAAACACACTTTCTGTAAAATCTGCAAGTGGATATTTGGACCTCTCTGAGGATTTCGTTGGAAACGGGATAAACTTCCCAGAACTACACGGAAGCATTGTGAGAAACTTCTTTGTGATGTTTGCATTCAACTCACAGAGTTGAACCTTGCTTTCATAGTTCAGCTTTCAAACACTCTTTTTGTAGAATCTGCAAGTGGATATTTGGACCACTTTGTGGCCTTCCTTCGAAACGGGTATATCTTCACATCAAACCTAGACAGAAGCATTCTCAGAATGTTTCCTGTGATGACTGAATTCAACTCACAGAGGTGAACAATCCTGCTGATGGAGCAGTTTTGACACTCTCTTTCTTTGGATTCTGCAAGTGGATATGTGGACCTCTGTGAAGATTTCGTTGGAAACGGGCTCATCTTCACAGAAAAACTAAACAGGAGAATTCTCAGAAACTGCTTTGTGATGTTTGTGTTCCACTTCAGGAATTGAACTTTCCTCTTGACAGAGCAGCTCTGAAACCCTCTTTTTCTAGAATCTGCAAGTGGACATTTGAAGGGCTTTGAGGCCTGTGGTGGAAAAGGAAAATCTTCACATAAAAACTAGATGGAAGCATTCTCAGAAACTACCTTGTGATGATTTCATTCGACTCACAGAGTTGAACATTACTATAGATAGAGCAGGTTGTAAACAATCTTTTTGTAGAATCTGCGATTGGAGATTTGGACTGCTTTGAGGCCTACTGTAGTAAAGGAAATAACTTCATCTAAAAACCAAACGGAAGCATTCACAGACAATTCTTAGTGATCATTGGATTGAACTAACAGAGCTGAACATTCCCTTAGATGGCGCAGTTTCCAAACACACTTTCTGTAGAATCTGCAAGTGGATATTTGGACCTCTCTGAGGATTTCGTTGGAAACGGGATAAACTTCCCTGAACTACACGGAAGCATTCTGAGAAACTTCTTTGTGATGTTTGCATGCAACTCACAGAGTTGAACCTTGCTTTCATAGTTCAGCTATCAAACACTCTTTTTGTAGAATCTGCAAGTGGATATTTGGACCACTTTGTGGCCTTCCTTCGAAACGGGTATATCTTCACATCAAACCTAGACAGAAGCATTCTCAGAATGTTTCCTGTGATGACTGCATTCAACTCACAGCAGGTGAACAATCCTGCTGATGGAGCAGTTTTGAAACTCTCTTTCTTTGGATTCTGCAAGTGGATATGTGGACCTCTGTGTAGATTTCGTTGGAAACGGGTTCATCTTCACAGAAAAACTAAACAGGAGCATTCTCAGAAACTGCTTTGTGATGTTTGTGTTCCACTTCAAGAATTGAACTTTCCTCTTGACAGAGCAGCTCTGAAACCCTCTTTTTCTAGAATCTGCAAGTGGACATTTGGAGGGCTTTGAGGCCTGTGGTGGAAAAGGAAAATCTTCACATAAAAACTAGATGGAAGCATTCTCAGAAACTACTTTGTGATGATTGCATTCGACTCACAGAGTTGAACATTCCTATAGATAGAGCAGGTTGTAAACAATCTTTTTGTAGAATCTGCGATTGGACATTTGGACTGCTTTGAGGCCTACTGTAGTAAAGGAAATAACTTCATCTAAAAACCAAACGGAAGCATTCACAGACAATTCTTAGTGATCATTGGATTGAACTAACAGAGCTGAACATTCCTTTAGATGGAGCAGTTTCCAAACACACTTTCTGTAGAATCTGCAAGTGGATATTTGGACCTCTCTGAGGATTTCGTTGGAAACGGGATAAACTTCCCAGAACTACACGGAAGCATTCTGAGAAACTTCTTTGTGATGTTTGCATTCAACTCACAGAGTTGAACCTTGCTTTCATAGTTCAGCTTTCAAACACTCTTTTTGTAGAATCTGCAAGTGGATATTTGGACCACTTTGTGGCCTTCCTTCGAAACGGGTATATCTTCACATCAAACCTAGACAGAAGCATTCTCAGAATGTTTCCTGTGATGACTGCATTCAACTCACAGAGGTGAACAATCCTGCTGATGGAGCAGTTTTGAAACTCTCTTTCTTTGGATTCTGCAAGTGGATATGTGGACCTCTGTGAAGATTTCGTTGGAAACGGGTTCATCTTCACAGAAAAACTAAACAGGAACATTCTCAGAAACTGCTTTGTGATGTTTGTGTTCCACTTCAAGAATTGAACTTTCCTCTTGACAGAGCAGCTCTGAAACCCTCTTTTTCTAGAATCTGCAAGTGGACATTTGGAGGGCTTTGAGGCCTGTGGTGGAAAAGGAAAATCTTCACATAAAAACTAGATGGAAGCATTCTCAGAAACTACTTTGTGATGATTGCATTCGACTCACAGAGTTGAACATTCCTATAGATAGAGCAGGTTGTAAACAATCTTTTTGTAGAATCTGCGATTGGAGATTTGGACTGCTTTGAGGCCTACTGTAGTAAAGGAAATAACTTCATCTAAAAACCAAACGGAAGCTTTCACAGACAATTCTTAGTGATCATTGCATTGAACTAACAGAGCTGAACATTCCTTTAGATGGCGCAGTTTCCAAACACACTTTCTGTAGAATCTGCAAGTGGATATTTGGACCTCTCTGAGGATTTCGTTGGAAACGGGATAAACTTCCCAGAACTACACGGAAGCATTCTGAGAAACTTCTTTGTGATGTTTGCATTAAACTCACAGAGTTGAACCTTGCTTTGATAGTTCAGCTTTCAAACACTCTTTTTGTAGAATCTGCAAGTGGATATTTGGACCACTTTGTGGCCTTCCTTCGAAATGGGTATATCTTCACATCAAACCTAGACAGATAAGCATTCTCAGAATGTTTCCTGTGATGACTGCATTCAACTCACAGAGGTGAACAATCCTGGTGATGGAGCAGTTTTGAAACTCTCTTTCTTTGGATTCTGCAAGTGGATATGTGGACCTCTGTGAAGATTTGGTTGGAAACGGGTTCATCTTCCCAGAAAAACTAAAAAGAAGCATTCCCAGAAACTGCTTTGTGATGTTTCTGTTCCACTTCAAGAATTGAACTTTCCTCTTGACAGAGCAGCTCTGAAACCCTCTTTTTCTAGAATCTGCAAGTGGACATTTGGAGGGCTTTGAGGCCTGTGGTGGAAAAGGAAAATCTTCACATAAAAACTAGATGGAAGCATTCTCAGAAACTACTTTGTGATGATTGCATTCGACCCACAGAGTTGAACATTCCTATAGATAGAGCATGTTGTAAACAATCTTTTTGTAGAATCTGCGATTGGAGATTTGGACTGCTTTGAGGCCTACTGTAGTAAAGGAAATAACTTCATCTAAAAACCAAACGGAAGCATTCACAGACAATTCTTAGTGATCATTGCATTGAACTAACAGAGCTGAACATTCCTTTAGATGGAGCAGTTTCCAAACACACTTTCTGTAGAATCTGCAAGTGGATATTTGGACTTCTACTGAGGATTTCGTTGGAAACGGGATAAACTTCCCAGAACTACACGGAAGCATTGTGAGAAACTTCTTTGTGATGTTTGCATTCAACTCACAGAGTTGAACCTTGCTTTCATAGTTCAGCTTTCAAACACTCTTTTTGTAGAATCTTCAAGTGGATATTTGGACCACTTTGTGGCCTTCCTTCGAAACGGGTATATCTTCACATCAAACCTAGACAGAAGCATTCTCAGGATGTTTCCTGTGATGACTGCATTCAACTCACAGAGGTGAACAATCCTGCTGATGGAGCAGTTTTGAAACTCTCTTTCTTTGGATTCTGCAAGTGGATATGTGGACCTCTGTGAAGGTTTCGTTGGAAACGGGTTCATCTTCACAGAAAAACTAAACAGAAGCATTCTCAGAAACTGCTTTGTGATGTTTGTGTTCCACTTCAGGAATTGAACTTTCCTCTTGACAGAGCAGCTCTAAAACCCTCTTATTCTAGAATCTGCAAGTGGACATTTGGAGGGCTTTGAGGCCTGTGGTGGAAAAGGAAAATCTTCACATAAAAACTAGATGGAAGCATTCTCAGAAACTACTTTGTGATGATTGCATTCGACTCACAGAGTTGAACATTCCTATAGGTAGAGCAGGTTGTAAACAATCTTTTTGTAGAATCTGCGATTGGAGATTTGGACTGCTTTGAGGCCTACTGTAGTAAAGGAAATAACTTCATCTAAAAACCAAACGGAAGCATTCACAGTACAATTCTTAGTGATCATTGGATTGAACTAACAGAGCTGAACATTCCCTTAGATGGCGCAGTTTCCAAACACACTTTCTGTAGAATCTGCAAGTGGATATTTGGACCTCTCTGAGGATTTCGTTGGAAACGGGATAAACTTCCCAGAACTACACGGAAGCATTCTGAGAAACTTCTTTGTGATGTTTGCATTCAACTCACAGAGTTGAACCTTGCTTTCATAGTTCAGCTTTCAAACACTCTTTTTGTAGAATCTGCAAGTGGATATTTGGACCACTTTGTGGCCTTCCTTGGAAACGGGTATATCTTCACATCAAACCTAGACAGATAAGCATTCTCAGAATGTTTCCTGTGATGACTGCATTCAACTCACAGAGGTGAACAATCCTGCTGATGGAGCAGTTTTGAAACTCTCTTTCTTTGGATTCTGCAAGTGGATATGTGGACCTCTGTGAAGATTTCGTTGGAAACGGGTTCATCTTCACAGAAAAACTAAACAGAAACATTCTCAGAAACTGCTTTGTGATGTTTGTGTTCCACTTCAAGAATTGAACTTTCCTCTTGACAGAGCAGCTCTGAAACCCTCTTTTTCTAGAATCTGCAAGTGGACATTTGGAGGGCTTTGAGGCCTGTGGTGGAAAAGGAAAATCTTCACATAAAAACTAGATGGAAGCATTCTCAGAAATTACTTTGTGATGATTGCATTCGACTCACAGAGTTGAACATTCCTATAGATAGAGCAGGTTGTAAACAATCTTTTTGTAGAATCTGCGATTGGAGATTTGGACTGCTTTGAGGCCTACTGTAGTAAAGGAAATAACTTCATCTAAAAACCAAACGGAAGCATTCACAGACAATTCTTAGTGATCATTGCATTGAACTAACAGAGTTGAACATTCCTTTAGGTGGCGCAGTTTCCAAACACACTTTCTGTTGAATCTGCAAGTGGATATTTGGACCTCTCTGAGGATTTCGTTGGAAACGGGATAAACTTCCCAGAACTACACGGAAGCATTGTGAGAAACTTCTTTGTGATGTTTGCATTCAACTCACAGAGTTGAACCTTGCTTTCATAGTTCAGCTTTCAAACACTCTTTTTGTAGAATCTGCAAGTGGATATTTGGACCACTTTGTGGCCTTCCTTTGAAAAGGGTATATCTTCACATCAAACCTAGACAGAAGCATTCTCAGAATGTTTCCTGTGATGACTGCATTCAACTCACAGAGGTGAACAATCCTGCTGATGGAGGAGTTTTGAAACTCTCTTTCTTTGGATTCTGCAAGTGGATATGTGGACCTCTGTGAAGATTTCGTTGGAAACGGGTTCATCTTCACAGAAAAATTAAACAGGAGCATTCTCAGAAACTGCTTTGTGATGTTTGTGTTCCACTTCAGGAATTGAACTTTCCTCTTGACAGAGCAGCTCTGAAACCCTCTTATTCTAGAATCTGCAAGTGGACATTTGGAGGGCTTTGAGGCCTGTGGTGGAAAAGGAAAATCTTCACATAAAAACTAGATGGAAGCATTCTCAGAAACTACTTTGTGATGATTGCATTCGACTCACAGAGTTGAACATTCCTATAGATAGACCAGGTTGTAAACAATCTTTTTGTAGAATCTGCGATTGGAGATTTGGACTGCTTTGAGGCCTACTGTAGTAAAGGAAATAACTTCATCTAAAAACCAAACGGAAGCATTCACAGACAATTCTTAGTGATCATTGGATTGAACTAACAGAGCTGAACATTCCTTTAGATGGAGCAGTTTCCAAACCCACTTTCTGTAGAATCTGCAAGTGGATATTTGGACTTCTCTGAGGATTTCGTTGGAAACGGGATAAACTTCCCAGAACTACACGGAAGCATTGTGAGAAACTTCTTTGTGATGTTTGCATTCAACTCACAGAGTTGAACCTTGCTTTCATAGTTCAGCTTTCAAACACTCTTTTTGTAGAATCTGCAAGTGGATATTTGGACCACTTTGTGGCCTTCCTTCGAAACGGGTATATCTTCACATCAAACCTAGACAGAAGCATTCTCAGAATGTTTCCTGTGATGACTGCATTCAACTCACAGAGGTGAACAATCCTGCTGATGGAGCAGTTTTGAAACTCTCTTTCTTTGGATTCTGCAAGTGGATATGTGGACCTCTGTGAAGATTTCGTTGGAAACGGGTTCATCTTCACAGAAAAACTAAACAGAAGCATTCTCAGAAACTGCTTTGTGATGTTTGTGTTCCACTTCAGGAATTGAACTTTCCTCTTGACAGAGCAGCTCTGAAACCCTCTTATTCTAGAATCTGCAAGTGGACATTTGGAGGGCTTTGAGGCCTGTGGTGGAAAAGGAAAATCTTCACATAAAAACTAGATGGAAGCATTCTCAGAAACTACTTTGTGATGATGGCATTCGACTCACAGAGTTGAACATTCCTATAGATAGAGCAGGTTGTAAACAATCTTTTTGTAGAATCTGCGATTGGAGATTTGGACTGCTTTGAGGCCTACTGTAGTAAAGGAAATAACTTCATCTAAAAACCAAACGGAAGCATTCACAGACAATTCTTAGTGATCATTGCATTGAACTAACAGAGCTGAACATTCCTTTAGATGGCGCAGTTTCCAAACACACCTTCTGTAGAATCTGCAAGTGGATATTTGGACCTCTCTGAGGATTTCGTTGGAAACGGGATAAACTTCCCAGAACTACACGGAAGCATGCTGAGAAACTTCTTTGTGATGTTTGCATTCAACTCACAGAGTTGAACCTTGCTTTCATAGTTCAGCTTTCAAACACTCTATTTGTAGAATCTGCAAGTGGATATTTGGACCACTTTGTGGCCTTCCTTCGAAACGGGTATATCTTCACTTCAAACCTAGAAAGAAGCATTCTCAGAATGTTTCCTGTGATGACTGCATTCAACTCACAGAGGTGAACAATCCTGCTGATGGAGCAGTTTTGAAACTCTCTTTCTTTGGATTCTGCAAGTGGATATGTGGACCTCTGTGAAGATTTCGTTGGAAACGGGTTCATCTTCACAGAAAAACTAAACAGGAGCACTCTCAGAAACTGCTTTGTGATGTTTGTGTTCCACTTCAAGAATTGAACTTTCCTCTTGACAGAGCAGCTCTGAAACCCTCTTTTTCTAGAATCTGCAAGTGGACATTTGGAGGGCTTTGAGGCCTGTGGTGGAAAAGGAATATCTTCCCATAAAAACTAGATGGAAGCATTCTCAGCAAACTACTTTGTGATGATTGCATTCGACTCACAGCAGTTGAACATTCCTATAGATAGAGCAGGTTGTAAACAATGTTTTTGTAGAATCTGCGATTGGAGATTTGGATTGCTTTGAGGCCTACTGTAGTAAAGGAAATAACTTCATCTAAAAACCAAACGGAAGCATTCACAGACAATTCTTAGTGATCATTGCATTGAACTAACAGAGCTGAACATTGCTTTAGATGGAGCAGTTTCCAAACACACTTTCTGTAGAATCTGCAAGTGGATATTTGGACCTCTCTGAGGATTTCGTTGGAAACGGGATAAAATTCCCAGAACTACACGGAAGCATTCTGAGAAACTTCTTTGTGATGTTTGCATTCAACTCACAGAGTTGAACCTTGCTTTCATAGTTCAGCTTTCAAACACTCTTTTTGTAGAATCTGCAAGTGGATATTTGGACCACTTTGTGGCCTTCCTTCGAAAGGGGTATATCTTCACATCAAACCTAGACAGAAGCATTCTCAGAATGTTTCCTGTGATGACTGCATTCAACTCACAGAGGTGAAGAATCCTGCTGATGGAGCAGTTTTGAAACTCTCTTTCTTTGGATTCTGCAAGTGGATATGTGGACCTCTGTGAAGATTTCGTTGGAAAAGGGTTCATCTTCACAGAAAAACTAAACAGAAGCATTCTCAGAAACTGCTTTGTGATGTTTGTGTTCCACTTCAGGAATTGAACTTTCCTCTTGACAGAGCAGCTCTAAAACCCTCTTATTCTAGAATCTGCAAGTGGACATTTGGAGGGCTTTGAGGCCTGTGGTGGAAAAGGAAAATCTTCACATAAAAACTAGATGGAAGCATTCTCAGAAACTACTTTGTGATGATGGCTTTCGACTCACAGAGTTGAACATTCCTATAGATAGAGCAGGTTGTAAACAATCTTTTTGTAGAATCTGCGATTGGAGATTTGGACTGCTTTGAGGCCTACTGTAGTAAAGGAAATAACTTCATCTAAAAACCAAACGGAAGCATTCACAGACAATTCTTAGTGATCATTGGATTGAACTAACAGAGCTGAACATTCCTTTAGATGGCGCAGTTTAAAAAACACACTTTCTGTAGAATCTGCAAGTGGATATTTGGACCTCTCTGAGGATTTCGTTGGAAAGGGGATAAACTTCCCAGAACTACACGGAAGCATTCTGAGAAACTTCTTTGTCATGTTTGCATTCAACTCACAGAGTTGAACCTTGCTTTCATAGTTCAGCTTTCAAACACTCTTTTTGTAGAATCTGCAAGTGGATATTTGGACCACTTTGTGGCCTTCCTTCGAAACGGGTATATCTTCACATCAAACCTAGACAGAAGCATTCTCAGAATGTTTCCTGTGATGACTGCATTCAACTCACAGACGTGAACAATCCTGCTGATGGAGCAGTTTTGAAACTCTCCTTCTTTGGATTCTGAAAGTGGATATGTGGACCTCTGTGAAGGTTTCGTTGGAAACGGGTTCATCTTCACAGAAAAACTAAACAGAGGAAGCATTCTCGGAAACTGCTTTGTGATGTTTGTGTTCCACTTCAGGAATTGAACTTTCCTCTTGACAGAGCAGCTCTGAAACCCTCTTATTCTAGAATCTGCAAGTGGACATTTGGAGGGCTTTGAGGCCTGTGGTGGAAAAGGAAAATCTTCACATAAAAACTAGATGGAAGCATTCTCAGAAACTACTTTGTGATGATTGCATTCGACTCACAGAGTTGAACATTCCTATAGATAGAGCAGGTTGTAAACAATCTTTTTGTAGAATCTGCGATTGGAGATTTGGACTGCTTTGAGGCCTACTGTAGTAAAGGAAATAACTTCATCTAAAAACCAAACGGAAGCATTCACAGACAATTCTTAGTGATCATTGCATTGATCTAACAGAGCTGAACATTCCTTTAGATGGCGTAGTTTCCAAACACACTTTCTGTAAAATCTGCAAGTGGATATTTGGACCTCTCTGAGGATTTCGTTGGAAACGGGATAAACTTCCCAGAACTACACAGGAAGCATTGTGAGAAACTTCTTTGTGATGTTTGCATTCAACTCACAGAGTTGAACCTTGCTTTCATAGTTCAGCTTTCAAACACTCTTTTTGTAGAATCTGCAAGTGGATATTTGGACCACTTTGTGGCCTTCCTTTGAAAAGGGTATATCTTCACATCAAACCTAGACAGAAGCATTCTCAGAATGTTTCCTGTGATGACTGCATTCAACTCACAGAGGTGAACAATCCTGCTGTTGGAGCAGTTTTGAAACTCTCTTTCTTTGGATTCTGCAAGTGGATATGTGGACCTCTGTGAAGATTTCATTGGAAACGGGTTCATCTTCACAGAAAAACTAAACAGAAGCATTCTCAGAAACTACTTTGTGATGTTTGTGTTCCACTTCAAGAATTGAACTTTCCTCTTGACAGAGCAGCTCTGAAACCCTCTTTTTCTAGAATCTGCAAGTGGACATTTGGAGGGCTTTGAGGCCTGTGGTGCAAAAGGAAAATCTTCACATAAAAACTAGATGGAAGCATTCTCACAAACTACTTTGTGATGATTGCATTCGACTCACAGAGTTGAACATTCCTATAGATAGAGCAGGTTGTAAACAATCTTTTTGTAGAATCTGCGATTGGAGATTTCGACTGCTTTGAGGCCTACTGTAGTAAAGGAAATAACTTCATCTAAAAACCAAACGGGAAGCATTCACAGACAATTCTTAGTGATCATTGGAATGAACTAACAGAGCTGAACATTCCTTTAGATGGAGCAGTTTCCAAACACACTTTCTGTAGAATCTGCAAGTGGATATTTGGACCTCTCTGAGGATTTCGTTGGAAACGGGATAAATTTCCCAGAACTACACGGAAGCATTCTGAGAAACTTCTTTGTGATGTTTGCATTCAACTCACAGAGTTGAACCTTGCTTTCATAGTTCAGCTTTCAAACACTCTTTTTGTAGAATCTGCAAGTGGATATTTGGACCACTTTGTGGCCTTCCTTCGAAACGGGTATATCTTCACATCAAACCTAGACAGAAGCATTCTCAGAATGTTTCCTGCGATGACTGCATTCAACTCACAGAGGTGAAAAATCCTGTTGATGGAGCAGTTTTGAAGCTCCCTTTCTTTGGATTCTGCAAGTGGATATGTGGACCTCTTTGAAGATTTCGTTGGAAAAGTGTTCATCTTCACATAAAAAATAACAGA
This sequence comes from Homo sapiens, assembly GCF_000001405.40. NCBI lineage: Eukaryota > Metazoa > Chordata > Mammalia > Primates > Hominidae > Homo > Homo sapiens. The sequence continues at coordinate 53,964,409 of NC_000011.10, forward strand.
AGCATTCTCAGAAACTGCTTTGTGATGTTTGTGTTCCACTTCAAGAATTGAACTTTCCTCTTGACAGAGCAGCTCTGAAACCCTCTTTTTCTAGATTCTGCAAGTGGACATTTGGAGGGCTTTGAGGCCTGTGTGGAAAACGAAAATCTTCACATAAAAACTAGATGGAAGCATTCTCAGAAACTACTTTGTGATGATTGCATTCGACTCACAGAGTTGAACATTCCTATAGATAGAGCAGGTTGTAAACAATCTTTTTGTAGAATCTGCGATTGGAGATTTGGACTGCTTTGAGGCCTACTGTAGTAAAGGAAATAACTTCATCTAAAAACCAAACGCAAGCATTCACAGACAATTCTTAATGATCATTGCATTGAACTAACAGAGCTGAACATTCCTTTAGATGGAGCAGTTTCCAAACACACTTTCTGTAGAATCTGCAAGTGGATATTTGGACCTCTCTGAGGATTTCGTTGGAAACGGGATATGCTTCCCAGAACTACAGGGAAGCATTGTGAGAAACTTCTTTGTGATGTTTTCATTCAACTCACAGAGTTGAACCTTGCTTTCATAGTTCAGCTTTCAAACACTCTTTTTGTAGAATCTGCAACTGGATATTTGGACCACTTTGTGGCCTTCCTTCGAAACGGGTATATCTTCACATCAAACCTAGACAGAAGCATTCTCAGAATGTTTCCTGTGATGACTGCATTCAACTCACAGAGGTGAACAATCCTGTTGATGGAGCAGTTTTGAAACTCTCTTTCTTTGGATTCTGCAAGTGGATATGTGGACCTCTGTGAAGATTTCGTTGGAAACGGGTTCATCTTCACAGAAAAACTAAACAGAAGCATTCTCAGAAACTGCTTTGTGATGTTTGTGGTCCACTTCAGGAATTGAACTTTCCTCTTGACAGAGCAGCTCTGAAACCCTCTTTTTCTAGAATCTGCAAGTGGACATTTGGAGGGCTTTGAGGCCTGTGGTGGAAAAGGAAACTCTTCACATAAAAACTAGATGGAAGCATTCTCAGAAACTACTTTGTGATGATTGCATTCGACTCACAGAGTTGAACATTCCTATAGATAGAGCAGGTTGTAAACAATGTTTTTGTAGAATCTGCGATTGGAGATTTGGACTGCTTTGAGGCCTACTGTAGTAAAGGAAATAACTTCATCTAAAAACCAAACGGAAGCATTCACAGACAATTCTTAGTGATCATTGGATTGAACTAACAGAGCTGAACATTCCTTTAGATGGCGCAGTTTCCAAACACACTTTCTGTAGAATCTGCAAGTGGATATTTGGACTTCTCTGAGGATTTCGTTGGAAACGGGATAAACTTCCCAGAACTACACGGAAGCATTCTGAGAAACTTCTTTGGATGTTTGCATTCAACTCACAGAGTTGAACCTTGCTTTCATAGTTCAGCTTTCAAACACTCTTTTTGTAGAATCTGCAAGTGGATATTTGGACCACTTTGTGGCCTTCCTTCGAAACGGGTATATCTTCCCATCAAAGCTAGACAGAAGCATTCTCAGAATGTTTCCTGTGATGACTGCATTCAACTCACAGAGGTGAACAATCCTTCTGATGGAGAAGTTTTGAAACTCTCTTTCTTTGGATTCTGCAAGTGGATATGTGGACCTCTGTGAAGATTTCGTTGGAAACGGGTTCATCTTCACAGAAAAACTAAACAGGAGCATTCCCAGAAACTGCTTTGTGATGTTTCTGTTCCACTTCAAGAATTGAACTTTCCTCTTGACAGAGCAGCTCTGAAACCCTCTTTTTCTAGAATCTGCAAGTGGACATTTGGAGGGCTTTGAGGCCTGTGGTGGAAAAGGAAAATCTTCACATAAAAACTAGATGGAAGCATTCTCAGAAACTACTTTGTGATGATTGCATTCGACTCACAGAGTTGAACATTCCTATAGATAGAGCAGGTTGTAAACAATGTTTTTGTAGAATCTGCGATTGGAGATTTGGACTGCTTTGAGGCCTACTGTAGTAAAGGAAATAACTTCATCTAAAAACCAAACGGAAGCATTCACAGACAATTCTTAGTGATCATTGGATTGAACTAACAGAGCTGAACATTCCTTTAGATGGAGCAGTTTCCAAACACACTTTCTGTAGAATCTGCAAGTGGATATTTGGACCTCTCTGAGGATTTCTTTGGAAACGGGCTAAACTTCCCAGAACTACACGGAAGCATTGTGAGAAACTTCTTTGTGATGTTTGCATTCAACTCACAGAGTTGAACCTTGCTTTCATAGTTCAGCTTTCAAACACTCTTTTTGTAGAATCTGCAAGTGGATATTTGGACCACTTTGTGGCCTTCCTTCGAAACGGGTATATCTTCACATCAAACCTAGACAGAAGCATTCTCAGAATGTTTCCTGTGATGACTGCATTCAACTCACAGAGGTGAACAATCCTGCTGATGGAGCACTTTTGAAACTCTCCTTCTTTGGATTCTGCAAGTGAATATGTGGTCCTCTGTGAAGATTTCGTTGGAAACGGGTTCATCTTCACAGAAAAACTAAACAGAAGCATTCTCAGAAACTGCTTTGTGATGTTTGTGTTCCACTTCAAGAATTGAACTTTCCTCTTGACAGAGCAGCTCTGAAACCCTCTTTTTCTAGAATCTGCAAGTGGACATTTGGAGGGCTTTGAGGCCTGTGGTGGAAAAGGAAAATCTTCACATAAAAACTAGATGGAAGCATTCTCAGAAACTACTTTGTGATGATTGCATTCGACTCACAGAGTTGAGCATTCCTATAGATAGAGCAGGTTGTAAACAATCTTTTTGTAGAATATGCGATTGGAGATTTGGACTGCTTTGAGGCCTACTGTAGTAAAGGAAATAACTTCATCTAAAAACCAAACGGAAGCATTCACAGACAATTCTTAGTGATCATTGGATTGAACTAACAGAGCTGAACATTCCTTTAGATGGAGCAGTTTCCAAACACACTTTCTGTAGAATCTGCAAGTGGATATTTGGACCTCTCTGAGGATTTCGTTGGAAACGGGATAAACTTCCCAGAACTACACGGAAGCATTCTGAGAAACTTCTTTGTGATGTTTGCATTCAACTCACAGAGTTGAACCTTGCTTTCATAGTTCAGCTTTCAAACACTCTTTTTGTAGAATCTGCAAGTGGATATTTGGACCACTTTGTGGCCTTCCTTCGAAACGGGTATATCTTCACATCAAACCTAGACAGAAGCATTCTCAGAATGTTTCCTGTGATGACTGCATTCAACTCACAGAGGTGAACAATCCTGCTGATGGAGCAGTTTTGAAACTCTCTTTCTTTGGATTCTGCAAGTGGATATGTGGACCTCTGTGAAGATTTCGTTGGAAACGGGTTCATCTTCACAGAGAAACTAAACAGAAGCATTCTCAGAAACTGCTTTGTGATGTTTGTGTTCCACTTCAGGAATTGAACTTTCCTCTTGACAGAGCAGCTCTGAAATCCTCTTATTCTAGAATCTGCAAGTGCACATTTGGAGGGCTTTGAGGCCTGTGGTGGAAAAGGAAAATCTTCACATAAAAACTAGATGGAAGCATTCTCAGAAACTACTTTGTGATGATTGCATTCGACTCACAGAGTTGAACATTCCTATAGGTAGAGCAGGTTGTAAACAATCTTTTTGTAGAATCTGCGATTGGAGATTTGGAGTGCTTTGGGGCCTACTGTAGTAAAGGAAAAAACTTCATCTAAAAACCAAACGGGAAGCATTCACAGACAATTCTTAGTGATCATTGCATTGAACTAACAGAGCTGAACATTCCTTTAGATGGCGCAGTTTCCAAACACACTTTCTGTAGAATCTGCAAGTGGATATTTGGACTTCTCTGAGGATTTCGTTGGAAACGGGATAAACTTCCCAGAACTACACGGAAGCATTCTGAGAAACTTCTTTGTGATGTTTGCATTCAACTCACAGAGTTGAACCTTGCTTTCATAGTTCAGCTTTCAAACACTCTTTTTGTAGAATCTGCAAGTGGATATTTGGACCACTTTGTGGCCTTCCTTCAAAACGGGTATATCTTCACATCAAACCTAGACAGAAGCATTCTCAGAATGTTTCCTGTGATGACTGCATTCAACTCACAGAGGTGAACAATCCTGCTGATGGAGCAGTTTTGAAACTCTCTTTCTTTGGATTCTGCAAGTGGATATGTGGACCTCTGTGAAGATTTCGTTGGAAACGGGTTCATCTTCACAGAAAAACTAAACAGGAGCATTCTCAGAAACTGCTTTGTGATGTTTGTGTTCCACTTCAGGAATTGAACTTTCCTCTTGACAGAGCAGCTCTGAAACCCTCTTATTCTAGAATCTGCAAGTGGACATTTGGAGGGCTTTGAGGCCTGTGGTGGAAAAGGAAAATCTTCACATAAAAACTAGATGGAAGCATTCTCAGAAACTGCTTTGTGATGATTGCATTCGACTCACAGAGTTGAACATTCGTATAGATAGAGCAGGTTGTATACAATCTTTTTGTAGAATCTGCGATTGGAGATTTGGACTGCTTTGAGGCCTACTGTAGTAAAGGAAATAACTTCATCTAAAAACCAAACGGAAGCATTCACAGACAATTCTTAGTGATCATTGGATTGAACTAACAGAGCTGAACATTCCTTTAGATGGAGCAGTTTCCAAACACACTTTCTGCAGAATCTGCAAGTGGATATTTGGACTTCTCTGAGGATTTCGTTGGAAACGGGATAAACTTCCCAGAACTACACGGACATTCGTGAGAAACTTCTTTGTGATGTTTGCATTCAACTCACAGAGTTGAACCTTGCTTTCATAGTTCAGCTTTCAAACACTCTTTTTGTAGAATCTGCAAGTGGATATTTGGACCACTTTGTGGCCTTCCTTCGAAACGGGTATATCTTCACATCAAACCTAGACAGAAGCATTCTCAGAATATTTCCTGTGATGACTGCATTCAACCCACAGAGGTGAACAATCCTGCTGATGGAGCAGTTTTGAAACTCTCTTTCTTTGGATTCTGCAAGTGGATATGTGGACCTCTGTGAAGATTTCGTTGGAAACGGGTTCATCTTCACAGAAAAACTGAAAAGAAGCATTCTCAGAAACTGCTTTGTGATGTTTGTGTTCCACTTCAAGAATTGAAGTTTCCTCTTGACAGAGCAGCTCTGAAACCCTCTTATTCTAGAATCTGCAAGTGGACATTTGGAGGGCTTTGAGGCCTGTGGTGGAAAAGGAAAATCTTCACATAAAAACTAGATGGAAGCATTCTCAGAAACTACTTTGTGATGATTGCATTCGACTCACAGCGTTGAACATTCCTATAGATAGAGCAGGTTGTAAACAATCTTTTTGTAGAATCTGCGATTGGAGATTTGGACTGCTTTGAGGCCTACTGTAGTAAAGGAAATAACTTCATCTAAAAACCGAACGGAAGCATTCACAGACAATTCTTAGTGATCATTGCATTGAACTAACAGAGCTGAACATTCCTTTAGATGGCGCAGTTTCCAAACACACTTTCTGTAGAATCTGCAAGTGGATATTTGGACCTCTCTGAGGATTTCGTTGGAAACGGGATAAACTTCCCAGAACTACACGGAAGCATTCTGAGAAACTTCTTTGTGATGTTTGCATTCAACTCACAAAGTTGAACCTTGCTTTCATAGTTCAGCTTTCAAACACTCTTTTTGTAGAATCTGCAAGTGGATATTTGGACCACTTTGAGGCCTTCCTTCGAAACGGGTATATCTTCACATCAAACCTAGACAGAAGCATTCTCAGAATGTTTCCTGTGATGACTGCATTCAACTCACAGAGGTGAACAATCCTGCTGATGGAGCAGTTTTGAAACTCTCTTTCTTTGGATTCTGCAAGTGGATATGTGGACCTCTGTGAAGATTTCGTTGGAAACGGGTTCATCTTCACAGAAAAACTAAACAGGAGCATTCTCAGAAACTGCTTTGTGATGTTTGTGTTCCACTTAAAGAATTGAACTTTCCTCTTGAGAGAGCAGCTCTGAAACCCTCTTTTTCTGGAATCTGCAAGTGGACATTTGGAGGGCTTTGAGGCCTGTTGTGGAAAAGGAAAATCTTCACATAAAAACTAGATGGAAGCATTCTCAGAAACTACTTTGTGATGATTGCATTCGACTCACAGAGTTGAACATTCCTATAGATAGAGCAGGTTGTAAACAATCTTTTTGTAGAATCTGCGATTGGAGATTTGGACTGCTTTGAGGCCTACTGTAGTAAAGGTAATAACTTCATCTAAAAACCAAACGGAAGCATTCACAGACAATTCTTAGTGATCTATTGGATTGAACTAACAGAGCTGAACATTCCTTTAGATGGCGCAGTTTCCAAACCCACTTTCTGTAGAATCTGCAAGTGGATATTTGGACTTCTCTGAGGATTTCGTTGGAAACGGGATAAACTTCCCAGAACTACACGGAAGCATTGTGAGAAACTTCTTTGTGATGTTTGCATTCAACTCACAGAGTTGAACCTTGCTTTCATAGTTCAGCTTTCAAACACTCTTTTTGTAGAATCTGCAAGTGGATATTTGGACCACTTTGTGGCCTTCCTTCGAAACGGGTATATCTTCACATCAAACCTAGACAGAAGCATTCTCGGAATGTTTCCTGTGATGACTGCATTCAACTCACAGAGGTGAACAATCCTGCTGATGGAGCAGTTTTGAAACTCTCTTTCTTTGGATTCTGCAAGTGGATATGTGGACCTCTGTGAAGATTTCGTTGGAAACGGGTTCATCTTCACAGAAAAACTAAACAGGAGCATTCTCAGAAACTGCTTTGTGATGTTTGTGTTCCACTTGAAGAATTGAACTTTCCTTTTGACAGAGCAGCTCTGAAACCCTCTTTTTCTAGAATCTGCAAGTGGACATTTGGAGGGCTTTGAGGCCTGTGGTGGAAAAGGAAAATCTTCCCATAAAAACTAGATGGAAGCATTCTCAGAAACTACTTTGTGATGATTGCATTCGACTCACAGAGTTGAACATTCCTATACATAGAGCAGGTTGTAAACAATCTTTTTGTAGAATCTGCGATTGGAGATTTGGACTGCTTTGAGGCCTACTGTAGTAAAGGAAATAACTTCATCTAAAAACCAAACGGAAGTATTCACAGACAATTCTTAGTGATCATTGGATTGAACTAACAGAGCTGAACATTCCTTTAGATGGCGCAGTTTCCAAACACACTTTCTGTAGAATCTGCAAGTGGATATTTGGACCTCTCTGAGGATTTCGTTGGAAACGGGATAAACTTCCCAGAACTACACGGAAGCATTCTGAGAAACTTCTTTGTGATGTTTGCATTCAACTCACAGAGTTGAACCTTGCTTTCATAGTTCAGCTTTCAAACACTCTTTTTGTAGAATCTGCAAGTGGATATTTGGACCACTTTCTGGCCTTCCTTCGAAACGGGTATATCTTCACATCAAACCTAGACAGAAGCATTCTCAGAATGTTTCCTGTGATGACTGCATTCAACTCACAGAGGTGAACAATCCTGCTGATGGAGCAGTTTTGAAACTCTCTTTCTTTGGATTCTGCAAGTGGATATGTGGACCTCTGTGAAGATTTCGTTGGAAACGGGTTCATCTTCACAGAAAAACTAAACAGAAGCATTCTCAGACACTGCTTTGTGATGTTTGTGTTCCACTTAAAGAATTGAACTTTCCTCTTGACAGAGCAGCTCTGAAACCCTCTTTTTCTAGAATCTGCAAGTGGACATTTGGAGGGCTTTGAGGCCTGTGGTGGAAAAGGAAAATCTTCACATAAAAACTTTATGGAAGCATTCTCAGAAACTACTTTGTGATGATTGCACTCGACTCACAGAGTTGAATATTCCTATAGATAGAGCAGGTTGTAAACAATCTTTTTGCAGAATCTGCGATTGGAGATTTGGACTGCTTTGAGGCCTACTGTAGTAAAGGAAATAACTTCATCTAAAAACTAAACGGAAGCATTCACAGACAATTCTTAGTGATCATTGCATTGAACTAACAGAGCTGAACATTCCTTTAGATGGCGCAGTTTCCAAACACACTTTCTGTAGAATCTGCAAGTGGATATTTGGACCTCTCTGAGGATTTCGTTGGAAACGGGCTAAATTTCCCAGAACTACACGGAAGCATTCTGAGAAACTTCTTTGTGATGTTTGCATTCAACTCACAGAGTTGAACCTTGCTTTCATAGTTCAGCTTTCAAACACTCTTTTTGTAGAATCTGCAAGTGGATATTTGGACCACTTTGTGGCCTTCCTTCGAAACGGGTATATCTTCACATCAAACCTAGACAGAAGCATTCTCAGAATGTTTCCTGTGATGACTGCATTCAACTCACAGAGGTGAACAATCCTGTTGATGGAGCACTTTTGAAACTCTCTTTCTTTGGATTCTGCTAGTTGATATGTGGACCTCTGTGAAGATTTCGTTGGAAACGGGTTCATCTTCACAGAAAAACTAAACAGGAAGCATTCTCAGAAACTGCTTTGTGATGTTTGTGTTCCACTTCAAGAATTGAACTTTCCTCTTGACAGAGCAGCTCTGAAACCCTCTTTTTCTAGAATCTGCAAGTGGACATTTGGAGGGCTTTGAGGCCTGTGGTGGAAAAGGAAAATCTTCACATAAAAACTAGATGGAAGCATTCTCAGAAACTACTTTGTGATGATTGCATTCGACTCACAGAGTTGAACATTCCTATATATAGAGCAGGTTGTAAACAATCTTTTTGTAGAATCTGCGATTGGAGATTTGGACTGCTTTGAGGCCTACTGTAGTTAAGGAAATAACTTCATCTAAAAACCAAACGGAAGCATTCACAGACAATTCTTAGTGATCATTGCATTGAACTAACAGAGCTGAACATTCCTTTAGATGGAGCATTTTCCAAACACACTTTCTGTAGAATCTGCAAGTGGATATTTGGACTTCTCTGAGGATTTCGTTGGAAACGGGATATACTTCCCAGAACTACACGGAAGCATGCTGAGAAACTTCTTTGTGATGTTTGCATTCCACTCACAGAGTTGAACCTTGCTTTCATAGTTCAGCTTTCAAACACTCTTTTTGTAGAATCTGCAAGTGGATATTTGGACCACTTTGTGGCCTTCCTTCGAAACGGGTATATCTTCACATCAAACCTAGACAGAAGCATTCTCAGAATGTTTCCTGTGATGACTGCATTCAACTCACAGAGGTGAACAATCCTGCTGATGGAGCAGTTTTGAAACTCTCTTTCTTTGGATTCTGCAAGTGGATATGTGGACCTCTGTGAAGATTTCGTTGGAAACGGGTTCATCTTCACAGAAAAACTAAACAGAAGCATTCTCAGAAACTGCTTTGTGATGTTTGTGTTCCACTTCAAGAATTGAACTTTCCTCTTGACAGAGCAGCTCTGAAACCCTCTTTTTCTAGAATCTGCAAGTGGACATTTGGAGGGCTTTGAGGCCTGTGGTGTAAAAGGAAAATCTTCACATAAAAACTAGATGGAAGCATTCTCAGAAACTACTTTGTGATGATTGCATTCGACTCACAGAGTTGAACATTCCTATAGATAGAGCAGGTTGTAAACAATCTTTTTGTAGAATCTGCGATTGGAGATTTGGACTGCTTTGAGGCCTACTGTAGTAAAGGAAATAACTTCATCTAAAAACCAAACGGAAGCATTCACAGACAATTCTTAGTGATCATTGGATTGAACTAACAGAGCTGAACATTCCTTTAGATGGAGCAGTTTCCAAACACACTTTCTGTAGAATCTGCAAGTGGATATTTGGACTTCTCTGAGGATTTCGTTGGAAACGGGATAAACTTCCCAGAACTACACGGAAGCATTCTGAGAAACTTCTTTGTGATGTTTGCATTCAACTCACAGAGTTGAACCTTGCTTTCATAGTTCAGCTTTCAAACACTCTTTTTGTAGAATCTGCAAGTGGATATTTGGACCACTTTGTGGCCTTCCTTCGAAACGGGTATATCTTCACATCAAACCTAGACAGAAGCATTCTCAGAATGTTTCCTGTGATGACTGCATTCAACTCACAGAGGTGAACAATCCTGCTGATGGAGCAGTTTTGAAACTCTCTTTCTTTGGATTCTGCAAGTGGATATGTGGACCTCTGTGAAGATTTCGTTGGAAACGGGTTCATCTTCACAGAAAAACTAAACAGAAGCATTCTCAGAAACTGCTTTGTGATGTTTGTGTTCCACTTCAACAATTGAACTTTCCTCTTGACAGAGCAGCTCTGAAACCCTCTTTTTCTAGAATCTGCAAGTGGACATTTGGAGGGCTTTGAGGCCTGTGGTGGAAAAGGAAACTCTTCACATAAAAACTAGATGGAAGCATTCTCAGAAACTACTTTGTGATGATTGCATTCGACTCACAGAGTTGAACATTCCTATAGATAGAGCAGGTTGTAAACAATCTTTTTGTAGAACCTGCGATTGGAGATTTGGACTGCTTTGAGGCCTACTGTAGTAAAGGAAATAACTTCATCTAAAAACCAAACGGAAGCATTCACAGACAATTCTTAGTGATCATTGCATTGAACTAACAGAGCTGAACATTCCTTTCGATGGCGCAGTTTCCAAACACACTTTCTGTAGAATCTGCAAGTGGATATTTGGACCTCTCTGAGGATTTCGTTGGAAAAGGGATAAAATTCCCAGAACTACACGGAAGCATTCTGAGAAACTTCTTTGTGATGTTTGCATTCAACTCACAGAGTTGAACCTTGCTTTCATAGTTCAGCTTTCAAACACTCTTTTTGTAGAATCTGCAAGTGGATATTTGGACCACTTTGTGGCCTTCCTTCGAAACGGGTATATCTTCACATCAAACCTAGACAGAAGCATTCTCAGAATGTTTCCTGTGATGACTGCATTCAACTCACAGAGGTGAACAATCCTGCTGATGGAGCAGTTTTGAAACTCTCTTTCTTTGGATTCTGCAAGTGGATATGTGGACCTCTGTGAAGATTTCGTTGGAAACGGGTTCATCTTCACAGAAAACTAAACAGGAGCATTCTCAGAAACTGCTTTGTGATGTTTGTGTTCCACTTCAAGAATTGAACTTTCCTCTTGACAGAGCAGCTCTGAAACCCTCTTTTTCTAGAATCTGCAAGTGGACATTTGGAGGGCTTTGAGGCCTGTGGTGAAAAAGGAAAATCTTCACATAAAAACTAGATGGAAGCATTCTCAGAAACTACTTTGTGATGATTGCATTCGACTCACAGAGTTGAACATTCCTATAGATAGAGCAGGTTGTAAACAATCTTTTTGTAGAATCTGCGATTGGAGATTTGGACTGCTTTGAGGCCTACTGTAGTAAAGGAAATTACTTCATCTAAAAACCAAACGGAAGCATTCACAGACAATTCTTAGTGATCATTGCATTGATCTAACAGAGCTGAACATTCCTTTAGATGGCGTAGTTTCCAAACACACTTTCTGTAGAATCTGCAAGTGGATATTTGGACCTCTCTGAGGATTTCGTTGGAAACGGGATAAACTTCCCAGAACTACACGGAAGCATTGTGAGAAACTTCTTTGTGATGTTTGCATTCAACTCACAGAGTTGAACCTTGCTTTCATAGTTCAGCTTTCAAACACTCTTTTTGTAGAATCTGCAAGTGGATATTTGGACCACTTTGTGGCCTTCCTTCGAAACGGGTATATCTTCACATCAAACCTATACAAAAGCATTCTCAGAATGTTTCCTGTGATGACTGCATTCAACTCACAGAGGTGAACAATCCTGTTGATGGACTAGTTTTGAAACTCTCTTTCTTTGGATTCTGCAAGTGGATATGTGGACCTCTGTGAAGATTTCGTTGGAAACGGGTTCATCTTCACAGAAAAACTAAACAGAAGCATTCTCAGAAACTGCTTTGTGATGTTTGTGTTCCACTTCGAGAATTGAACTTTCCTCTTGACAGAGCAGCTCTGAAACCCTCTATTTCTAGAATCTGCAAGTGGACATTTGGAGGGCTTTGAGGCCTGTGGTGGAAAAGGAAAATCTTCACATAAAAACTAGATGGAAGCATTCTCAGAAACTACTTTGTGATGATTGCATTCGACTCACAGAGTTGAACATTCCTATAGATAGAGCAGGTTGTAAACAATGTTTTTGTAGAATCTGCGATTGGAGATTTGGACTGCTTTGAGGCCTACTGTAGTAAAGGAAATAACTTCATCTAAAAACCAAACGGAAGCATTCACAGACAATTCTTAGTGATCATTGGATTGAACTAACAGAGCTGAACATTCCTTTAGATGGCGCAGTTTCCAAACACACTTTCTGTAGAATCTGCAAGTGGATATTTGGACCTCTCTGAGGATTTCGTTGGAAACGGGATAAACTTCCCAGAACTACACGGAAGCATTCTGAGAAACTTCTTTGTGATGTTTGCATTCAACTCACAGAGTTGAACCTTGCTTTCATAGTTCAGCTTTCAAACACTCTTTTTGTAGAATCTGCAAGTGGATATTTGGACCACTTTGTGGCCTTCCTTCGAAACGGGTATATCTTCACATCAAACCTAGACAGAAGCATTCTCAGAATGTTTCCTGTGATGACTGCATTCAACTCACAGAGATGAACAATCCTGCTGATGGAGCACTTTTGAAACTCTCTTTCTTTGGATTCTGCAAGTTGATATGTGGACCTCTGTGAAGATTTCGTTGGAAACGGGTTCATCTTCACAGAAAAACTAAACAGAAGCATTCTCAGAAACTGCTTTGTGATGTTTGTGTTCCACTTCAGGAATTGAACTTTCCTCTTGACAGAGCAGCTCTGAAACCCTCTTTTTCTAGAATCTGCAAGTGGACATTTGGAGGGCTTTGAGGCCTGTGGTGGAAAAGGAAAATCTTCACATAAAAACTAGATGGAAGCATTCTCAGAAACTACTTTGTGATGATTGCATTCGACTCACAGAGTTGAACATTCCTATAGATAGAGCAGGTTGTAAACAATCTTTTTGTAGAATCTGCGATTGGAGATTTGGACTGCTTTGAGGCCTACTGTAGTAAAGGAAATAACTTCATCTAAAAACCAAACGGAAGCATTCACAGACAATTCTTAGTGATCATTGGATTGAACTAACAGAGCTGAACATTCCTTTAGATGGAGCAGTTTCCAAACCCACTTTCTGTAGAATCTGCAAGTGGATATTTGGACTTCTCTGAGGATTTCGTTGGAAACGGGATAAACTTCCCAGAACTACACGGAAGCATTCTGAGAAACTTCTTTGTGATGTTTGCATTCAACTCACAGAGTTGAACCTTGCTTTCATACTTCAGCTTTCAAACACTCTTTTTGTAGAATCTGCAAGTGGATATTTGGACCACTTTGTGGCCTTCCTTCGAAACGGGTATATCTTCACATCAAACCTAGACAGAAGCATTCTCAGAATGTTTCCTGTGATGACTGCATTCAACTCACAGAGGTGAAGAATCCTGCTGATGGAGCAGTTTTGAAACTCTCTTTCTTTGGATTCTGCAAGTGGATATGTGGACCTCTGTGAAGATTTCGTTGGAAACGGGTTCATCTTCACAGAAAAACTAAACAGGAGCATTCTCAGAAACTGCTTTGTGATGTTTGTGTTCCACTTCAAGAATTGAACTTTCCTCTTGACAGAGCAGCTCTGAAACCCTCTTTTTCTAGAATCTGCAAGTGGACATTTGGAGGGCTTTGAGGCCTGTGGTGGAAAAGGAAAATCTTCCCATAAAAACTAGATGGAAGCATTCTCAGAAACTACTCTGTGATGATTGCATTCCACTCACAGAGTTGAACATTCCTATAGATAGAGCAGGTTGTAAACAATCTTTTTGTAGAATCTGCGATTGGAGATTTGGACTGCTTTGAGGCCGACTGTAGTAAAGGAAATAACTTCATCTAAAAACCAAACGGAAGCATTCACAGACAATTCTTAGTGATCATTGGATTGAAGTAACAGAGCTGAACACTCCTTTAGATGGAGCAGTTTCCAAACACACTTTCTGTAGAATCTGCAAGTGGATATTTGGACTTCTCTGAGGATTTCGATGGAAACGGGATAAACTTCCCAGAACTACACGGAAAGCATTCTGAGAAACTTCTTTGTGATGTTTGCATTCAACTCACAGGATTTGCACCTTGCTTTCATAGTTCAGCTTTCAAACACTCTTTTTGTAGAATCTGCAAGTGGATATTTGGACCACTTTGTGGCCTTCCTTCGAAAAGGGTATATCTTCACATCAAACCTAGACAGAAGCATTCTCAGAATGTTTCCTGTGATGACTGCATTCAACTCACAGAGGTGAACAATCCTGTTGATGGAGCAGTTTTGAAACTCTCTTTCTTTGGATTCTGCAAGTGGATATGTGGACCTCTGTGAAGATTTCGTTGGAAACGGGTTCATCTTCACAGAAAAACTAAACAGAAGCATTCTCAGAAACTGCTTTGTGATGTTTGTGTTCCACTTCAAGAACTGAACTTTCCTCTTGACAGAGCAGCTCTGAAACCCTCTTTTTCTAGAATCTGCAAGTGGACATTTGGAGGGCTTTGAGGCCTGTGTTGGAAAAGGAAAATCTTCACATAAAAACTAGATGGAAGCATTCTCAGAAACTACTTTGGGATGATTGCATTCGACTCACAGAGTTGAACATTCGTAGAGATAGAGCAGGTTGTAAACAAGCTTTTTGTAGAATCTGCGATTGGAGATTTGGACTGCTTTGAGGCCTACTGTAGTAAAGGAAATAACTTCATCTAAAAACCAAACGGAAGCATTCACAGTAAAATTCTTTGTGATGATTGGATTGAACTAAGAGAGCTGAACATTCCTTTAGATGGCGCAGTTTCCAAACAGACTTTATGAAGAATCTGCAAGTGGATATTTGGACCTCTCTGAGGATTTCGTTGGAAATGTGATAAACTTCCCAGAACTACACGGAAGCATGCTGAGAAACATCTTTGTGATGTTTGCATTCAACTCACAGAGTTGAACCATGCTTTCATAGTTCAGCTTTCAAACACTCTTTTTGTAGAATCTGCAAGTGGATATTTGGACCACTTTGTGGCCTTCCTTCGAAACGGGTATATCTTCACATCAAACCTAGACAGAAGCATTCTCAGAATGTTTCCTGTGATGACTGCATTCAACTCACAGAGGTGAACAATCCTGTTGATGGAGCAGTTTTGAAACTCTCTTTCTTTGGATTCTGCAAGTGGATATGTGGACCTCTGTGAAGATTTCGTTGGAAACGGGTTCAACTGCACAGAAAAACTAAACAGGAGCATTCTCAGAAACTGCTTTGTGATGTTTGTGTTCCACTTCAAGAATTGAACTTTCCTCTTGACAGAGCAGCTCTGAAACCCTCTTTTTCTAGAATCTGCAAGTGGACATTTGGAGGGCTTTGAGGCCTGTGGTGGAAAAGGAAAATCTTCACATAAAAACTAGATGGAAGCATTCTCAGAAACTACTTTGTGATGATTGCATTCGACTCACAGAGTTGAACATTCCTATACATAGAGCAGGTTGTAAACAATCTTTTTGTAGAATCTGCGATTGGAGATTTGGACTGCTTTGAGGCCTACTGTAGTAAAGGAAATAACTTCATCTAAAAACCAAACGGAAGCATTCACAGACAATTCTTAGTGATCATTGCATTGAACTAACAGAGCTGAACATTTCTTTAGATGGCGCAGTTTCCAAACACACTTTCTGTAGAATCTGCAAGTGGATATTTGGACCTCTCTGAGGATTTCGTTGGAAACGGGATAAACTTCCCAGAACTACACGGAAGCATTGTGAGAAACTTCTTTGTGATGTTTGCATTCAACTCACAGAGTTGAACCTTGCTTTCATAGTTCAGCTTTCAAACACTCTTTTTGTAGAATCTGCAAGTGGATATTTGGACCACTTTGTGGCCTTCCTTCGAAACGGGTATATCTTCACATCAAACCTAGACAGAAGCATTCTCAGAATGTTTCCTGTGATGACTGCATTCAACTCACAGAGGTGAACAATCCTGCTGATGGAGCAGTTTTGAAACTCTGTTTCTTTGGATTCTGCAAGTGGATATGTGGACCTCTGTGAAGATTTCGTTGGAAACGGGTTCATCTTCACAGAAAAACTAAACAGGAGCATTCTCAGAAACTGCTTTGTGATGTTTGTGTTCCACTTCAAGAATTGAACTTTCCTCTTGACAGAGCAGCTCTGAAACCCTCTTTTTCTAGAATCTGCAAGTGGACATTTGGAGGGCTTTGAGGCCTGTGGTGGAAAAGGAAAATCTTCACATAAAAACTAGATGGAAGCATTCTCAGAAACTACTTTGTGATGATTGCATTCGACTCACAGAGTTGAACATTCCTACAGATAGAGCAGGTTGTAAACAATCTTTTTGTAGAATCTGCGATTGGAGATTTGGACTGCTTTGAGGCCTACTGTATTAAAGGAAATAACTTCATCTAAAAACCAAACGGAAGCATTCACAGACAATCCTTAGTGATCATTGCATTGAACTAACAGAGCTGAACATTCCTTTAGATGGCGCAGTTTCCAAACACACTTTCTGTAGAATCTGCAAGTGGATATTTGGACCTGCTCTGAGGATATCGTTGGAAACGGGATAAACTTCCCAGAACTATACGGAGCATTGTGAGAAACTTCTTTGTGATGTTTGCATTCAACTCACAGAGTTCAACCTTGCTTTCATAGTTCAGCTTTCAAACACTCTTTTTGTAGAATCTGCAAGTGGATATTTGGACCACTTTGTGGCCTTCCTTCGAAACGGGTATATCTTCACATCAAACCTAGACAGAAGCATTCTCAGAATGTTTCCTGTGATGACTGCATTCAACTCACAGAGGTGAACAATCCTGCTGATGGAGCAGTTTTGAAACTCTCTTTCTTTGGATTCTGCAAGTGGATATGTGGACCTCTGTGAAGATTTCGTTGGAAACAGGTTCATCTTCACAGAAAAACTAAACAGGAGCATTCTCAGAACCTACTTTGTGATGTTTGTGTTCCACTTCAAGAATTGAACTTTCCTCTTGACACAGCAGCTCTGAAACCCTCTTTTTCTAGAATCTGCAAGTGGACATTTGGAGGGCTTTGAGGCCTGTGGTGGAAAAGGAAAATCTTCACATAAAAACTAGATGGAAGCATTCTCAGAAACTACTTTGTGATGATTGCATTCGACTCACAGAGTTGAACATTCCTATAGATAGAGCAGGTTGTAAACAATCTTTTTGTAGAATCTGCGATTGGAGATTTGGACTGCTTTGAGGCCTACTGTAGTAAAGGAAATAACTTCATCTAAAAACGAAACGGAAGCATTCACAGACAATTCTTAGTGATCATTGGATTGAACTAACAGAGCTGAACATTCCTTTAGATGGAGCAGTTTCCAAACACACTTTCTGTAGAATCTGCAAGTGGATATTTGGACTTCTCTGAGGATTTCGTTGGAAACGGGATAAACTTCCCAGAACTACACGGAAGCATTCTGAGAAACTTCTTTGTGATGTTTGCATTCAACTCACAGAGTTGAACCTTGCTTTCATAGTTCAGCTTTCAAACACTCTTTTTGTAGAATCTGCAAGTGGATATTTGGACCACTTTGTGGCCTTCCTTCGAAACGGGTATATCTTCACATCAAACCTAGACAGAAGCATTCTCAGAATGTTTCCTGTGATGACTGCATTCAACTCACAGAGGTGAAGAATCCTGCTGATGGAGCAGTTTTGAAACTCTCTTTCTTTGGATTCTGCAAGTGGATATGTGGACCTCTGTGAAGATTTCGTTGGAAACGGGTTCATCTTCACAGAAAAACTAAACAGAAGCATTCTCAGAAACTGCTTTGTGATGTTTTTGTTCCACTTCAGGAATTGAACTTTCCTCTTGACAGAGCAGCTCTGAAAACCTCTTATTCTAGAATCTGCAAGTGGACATTTGGAGGGCTTTGAGGCCTGTGGTGGAAAAGGAAAATCTTCACATAAAAACTAGATGGAAGCATTCTCAGAAACTACTTTGTGATGATTGCATTCGACTCACAGAGTTGAACATTCCTATAGATAGAGCAGGTTGTAAACAATCTTTTTGTAGAATCTGCGATTGGAGATTTGGACTGCTTTGAGGTCTACTGTAGTAAAGGAAATAACTTCATCTAAAAACCAAACGGAAGCATTCACAGACAATTCTTAGTGATCATTGGATTGAACTAACAGAGCTGAACATTCCTTTAGATGGAGCAGTTTCCAAACCCACTTTCTGTAGAATCTGCAAGTGGATATTTGGACCTCTAAGAGGATTTCGTTGGAAACGGGATAAACTTCCCAGAACTACACGGAAGCATTCTGAGAAACTTCTTTGTGATGTTTGCATTCAACTCACAGAGTTGAACCTTGCTTTCATAGTTCAGCTTTCAAACACTCTTTTTGTAGAATCTGCAAGTGGATATTTGGACCACTTTGTGGCCTTCCTTCGAAACGGGTATATCTTCACATCAAACCTAGACAGAAGCATTCTCAGAATGTTTCCTGTGATGACTGCATTCAACTCACAGAGGTGAACAATCCTGCTGATGGAGCAGTTTTGAAACTCTCTTTCTTTGGATTCTGCAAGTGGATATGTGGACCTCTGTGAAGATTTCGTTGGAAACGGGTTCATCTTCACAGAAAAACTAAACAGAAGCATTCTCAGAAACTGCATTGTGATGTTTGTGTTCCACTTCAAGAATTGAACTTTCCTCTTGACAGAGCAGCTCTGAAACCCTCTTTTTCTAGAATCTGCAAGTGGACATTTGGAGGGCTTTGAGGCCTGTGGTGGAAAAGGAAAATCTTCACATAAGAACTTTATGGAAGCATTCTCAGAAACTACTTTGGGATGATTGCATTCGACTCACAGAGTTGAACATTCCTATAGATAGAGCAGGTTGTAAACAATCTTTTTGTAGAATCTGCGATTGGAGATTTGGACTGCTTTGAGGCCTACTGTAGTAAATTAAATAACTTCATCTAAAAACCAAACGGAAGCATTCACAGACAATTCTTAGTGATCATTGCATTGAACTAACAGAGCTGAACATTCCTTTAGATGGCGCAGTTTCCAAACACACTTTCTGTAGAATCTGCAAGCGGATATTTGGACCTCTCTGAGCATTTCGTTGGAAACGGGATAAACTTCCCAGAACTACACGGAAGCATTCTGAGAAACTTCTTTGTGATGTTTGCATTCAACTCACAGAGTTGAACCTTGCTTTCATAGTTCAGCTTTCAAACACTCTTTTTGTAGAATCTGCAAGTGGATATTTGGAACACTTTGTGGCCTTCCTTCGAAACGGGTATATCTTCACATCAAACCTAGACAGAAGCATTCTCAGAATGTTTCCTGTGATGACTGCATTCAACTCACAGAGGTGAACAATCCTGCTGATGGAGCAGTTTTGAAACTCTCTTTCTTTGGATTCTGCAAGTGGATATGTGGACCTCTGTGAAGATTTCGTTGGAAACGGGTTCATCTTCACAGAAAAACTAAACAGAAGCATTCTCAGAAACTGCTCTGTGATGTTTGTGTTCCACTTCAAGAATTGAACTTTCCTCTTGACAGAGCAGCTCTGAAACCCTCTTTTTCTAGAATCTGCAAGTGGACATTTAGAGGGCTTTGAGGCCTGTGGTGGAAAAGGAAAATCTTCACATAAAAACTAGATGGAAGCATTCTCAGAAACTACTTTGTGATGATGGCTTTCGACTCACAGAGTTGAACATTCCTATAGATAGAGCAGGTTGTAAACAATCTTTTTGTAGAATCTGCGATTGGAGATTTGGACTGCTTTGAGGCCTACTGTAGTAAAGGAAATAACTTCATCTAAAAACCAAACGGAAGCATTCACAGACAATTCTTAGTGATCATTGGATTGAACTAACAAAGCTGAACATTCCTTTAGATGGAGCAGTTTCCAAACACACTTTCTGTAGAATCTGCAAGTGGATATTTGGACTTCTCTGAGGATTTCGTTGGAAACGGGATAAACTTCCCAGAACTACACGGAAGCATTCTGAGAAACTTCTTTGTGATGTTTGCATTCAACTCACAGAGTTGAACCTTGCTTTCATAGTTCAGCTTTCAAACACTCTTTTTGTAGAATCTGCAAGTGGATATTTGGACCACTTTGTGTCCTTCCTTCGAAACGGGTATATCTTCACATCAAACTTAGACAGAAGCATTCTCAGAATGTTTCCTGTGATGACTGCATTCAACTCACAGAGGTGAACCATCCTGTTGATAGAGCAGTTTTGAAACTCTCTTTCTTTGGATTCTGCAAGTTGATATGTGGAACTCTGTGAAGATTTCGTTGGAAACGGGTTCATCTTCACAGAAAAACTAAACAGAAGCATTCTCAGAAACTGCTTTGTGACGATTGTGTTCCACTTCAGGAATTGAACTTTCCTCTTGACAGAGCAGCTCTGAAACCCTCTTATTCTAGAATCTGCAAGTGGACATTTGGAGGGCTTTGAGGCCTGTGGTGGAAAAGGAAAATCTTCACATAAAAACTAGATGGAAGCATTCTCAGCAAACTACTTTGTGATGATTGCATTCGACTCACAGCAGTTGAACATTCCTATAGATAGAGCAGGTTGTAAACAATGTTTTTGTAGAATCTGCGATTGGAGATTTGGATTGCTTTGAGGCCTACTGTAGTAAAGGAAATAACTTCATCTAAAAACCAAACGGAAGCATTCACAGACAATTCTTAGTGATCATTGGATTGAACTAACAGAGCTGAACATTCCTTTAGATGGCGCAGTTTCCAAACACACTTTCTGTAGAATCTGCAAGTGGATATTTGGACCTCTCTGAGGATTTCGTTGGAAACGGGATAAACTTCCCAGAACTACACGGAAGCATTGTGAGAAACTTCTTTGTGATGTTTGCATTCAACTCACAGAGTTGAACCTTGCTTTCATAGTTCAGCTATCAAACACTCTTTTTGTAGGATCTGCAAGTGGATATTTTTACCACTTTGTGGCCTTCCTTCGAAACGGGTATATCTTCACATCAAACCTAGACAGAAGCATTCTCAGAATGTTTCCTGTGATGACTGCATTCAACTCACAGAGGTGAACAATCCTGTTGATGGAGCAGTTTTGAAACTCTCTTTCTTTGGATTCTGCAAGTGGATATGTGGACCTCTGTGAAGATTTCGTTGGAAACGGGTTCAACTGCACAGAAAAACTAAACAGGAAAGCATTCTCAGAAACTGCTTTGTGATGTTTGTGTTCCACTTCAGGAATTGAACTTTCCTCTTGACAGAGCAGCTCTGAAACCCTCTTATTCTAGAATCTGCAAGTGGACATTTGGAGGGCTTTGAGGCCTGTGGTGGAAAAGGAAAATCTTCACATAAAAACTAGATGGAAGCATTCTCAGAAACTACTTTGTGATGATTGCATTCGACTCACAGAGTTGAACATTCCTATAGATAGAGCAGGTTGTAAACAATCTTTTTGTAGAATCTGCGATTGGAGATTTGGACTGCTTTGAGGCCTACTGTAGTAAAGGAAATAACTTCATCTAAAAACCAAACGGAAGCATTCACAGACAATTCTTAGTGATCATTGCATTGAACTAACAGAGCTGAACATTCCTTTAGATGGAGCAGTTTCCAAACACACTTTCTGTAGAATCTGCAAGTGGATATTTGGACCTCTCTGAGGATTTCGTTGGAAACGGGATAAACTTCCCAGAACTACACGGAAGCATTCTGAGAAACTTCTTTGTGATGTTTGCATTCAACTCACAGAGTTGAACCTTGCTTTCATAGTTCAGCTTTCAAACACTCTTTTTGTAGAATCTGCAAGTGGATATTTGGACCACTTTGTGGCCTTCCTTCGAAACGGGTATATCTTCACATCAAACCTAGACAGAAGCATTCTCAGAATGTTTCCTGTGATGACTGCATTCAACTCACAGAGGTGAACAATCCTGTTGATGGAGCACTTTTGAAACTCTCTTTCTTTGGATTCTGCAAGTTGATATGTGGACCTCTGAGAAGATTTCGTTGGAAACGGGTTCATCTTCACAGAAAAACTAAACAGAAGCATTCTCAGAAACTACTTTGTGATGTTTGTGTTCCACTTCAAGAATTGAACTTTCCTCTTGACAGAGCAGCTCTGAAACCCTCTTTTTCTAGAATCTGCAAGTGGACATTTGGAGGGCTTTGAGGCCTGTGGTGGAAAAGGAAAATCTTCACATAAAAACTAGATGGAAGCATTCTCAGAATCTACTTTGTGATGATTGCATTCGACTCACAGAGTTGAACATTCCTATAGATAGAGCAGGTTGTAAACCATCTTTTTGTAGAATCTGCGATTGGAGATTTGGACTGCTTTGAGGCCTACTGTAGTAAAGGAAATAACTTCATCTAAAAACCAAACGGA